>NC_000010.11:41545820-41593521 GCF_000001405.40 Homo sapiens | reverse complement strand
TCTGTCTAGCGTTATATGAAGAAATCCCGTTTCCAACGAAGGACTCAGAGAGGTCCAAATATCCACTTGCAGACTTTACAAATGGAATGTTTCCAAACTGCTCTATTAAAAGAAAGGTTAAATTCTGTGAGTTGAAGGCACACATCTGAAACTAGTTTCTGCGAATGACTCTGTGTAGTTTTACTACGAAGATATTTCCATCTCTAAGATTGGCCTCAAATCGCTTGAATTCTCCACTTGCAAATTCCACAAGAAGAGTGTTTCAAAACTGCTCAGGATAAAGGATGGTTCAACTCTGTGTGTTGAATACACACAGCACAAAGATTTACTGAGTATTCTTCTGTCTAGCAGTATATGAAAAAATTCCGCTTCCAACGAAGGCCTCAAAGGGGTCCAAGTATTCATTAGCAGACATTACAAACAGAGTCTTTGCAAACTGCTCTATGAAAAGAAAGGTGAAACTCTGTGAGCTGAACGCACACATCACAAAGTAGTTTCTGACAATGATTCTGTCTAATTTTACACGAAGATATTTCCATTTCAAAGATTGGCGTCAAATCTCTTGAAATCTCCACTTGCAAATTCCACAGAGAGAGTTTTTCAAAACTGCTCTGTCTAAAGGAAGGTTCAAATCTGTGAGATCAATACACACAACACAAAGAGGTGACTGAGAATTCTTCTGTCTAGCATTATATGAAGAAATCCCGTTTCCAAGGAAGGCCTCAAAGAAGTCCAAATATGCACTTGCAGACTTTACAACCAGAGTGTTTCCAAACTGCTCGATTAAAAGAAAGGTTAAAATCTGTGAGTTGAACGCACACATCACAAAGTAGTTCTTGAGAATGATTCTGTGTAGTTTTTATACGAAGACATTTCCTTTTCTGCCATAGGCCCAGAAGCGCTTGAAGTCTGCACTTGCAAATTCCAAAAAAAGAGTGTTTCAAATCTGCTCTCTCTAAAGGAAGGTTCAAATCCGTGAGTTGAATACAAACAACACAAAGAAGTTACTGAGAATTCTTCTGTCTAGCATTATGTGAGGAAATCTCGTTTCCAAAGAAGGGCTCAAAGAGGGCCAATTAACCACTTGCAGACATTACAAAGAGAGTGTTTCCAAACTGCTCGATTAAAAGAAAGGTTAAACTCTGTGAGTTGAATGCACACATTACAAAGTGTTTCCTGAGAATGATTTTCTCTCGTTCTAATACGAAGATATATCCTTTTCTACCATTGTCCTCGAAGCGTTTGAAATCTGCACTAGCAAATTCCACGGAAAGAATGTTTCAAATCTGCTCTCTGTAAAGAAAGGTTCATCCCTGTGAGTTGAATACACACAACACAAAGAAGTTACTGAGAATTCTTCTGTCTAACATTATATGAAGAAATCCCGTTTCCAACGAAGGCCTCAGAGAGGTCCAAATAAGCACTTGCAGACTTTACAAATGGAGTGTTTCCAAACTGCTCTATTAAAGGAAAGATTAAACTCTGTGAGTTGAAGGCACACATCAGAAACTAGTTTCTGCGAATGACTCTGTGTAGTTTTACTACGAAGATATTTCCATGACTAAGATTGGCGTCAAATCGCTTGAAATCTCCACTTGCAAATTCCACAGAAAGAGTGTTTCAAAACTGCTCTGGATAAAGGAAGGTTCAACTCTGTGTGTTGAATACACACAGCACAAAGATTTACTGAGAATTCTTCTGTCCAGCAGTATATGAAAAAGTTCCTCTTCCAACGAAGACCTCAAAGGGGTCCAAGTATTAAGTAGCAGACATTACAGAGAGAGTCTTTCCAAACTGATCTGTGAAAAGAAAGGTGGAACTCTGTGAGCTGAACGCACACATCACAAAGTAGTTTCTGAGAATGATTCTGTCTAATTTTACACGAAGATATTTCCATTTCAAAGATTGGCCTCAAATCACATGAAATCTCCACTTGCGAATTCCACAGAAAGAGTTTTTCAAAACTACTCTGTCTAAAGGAAGGTTCAAATCTGTGAGATCAATACACACAACACAAAGGGGTGACTGAGAATTCTTCTGTCTAGCAGTATATGAAGAAATCCCGTTTCCAACGAAGGCCTCAAAGAAGTCCAAATATGCACTTGCAGACTTTACAAACAGAGTGTTTCCAAACTGCTCGATTAAAAGAAAGGTTAAAATCTGTGAGTTGAACGCACACATCACAAAGTAGTTCTTGAGAATGATTCTGTGTAGTTTTTATACGAAGATATTTCCTTTTCTGCCATAGGTCCAGAAGCGCTTGAAGTCTGCACTTGCAAATTCCAAAAAAAGAGTGTTTCAAATCTGCTCTCTCTAAAGGAAGGTTCAAATCCGTGAGTTGAATACAAACAACACAAAGAAGTTACTGAGAATTCTTCTGTCTAGCATTATATGAGGAAATCTCGTTTCCAAAGACGGGCTCAAAGAGGGCCAATTAACCACTTGCAGACATTACAAAGACAGTGTTTCCAAACGGCTCGATTAAAAGAAAGGTTAAACTCTGTGAGTTGAACGCACACATTACAAAGTGTTTTCTGAGAATGATTTTCTCTCGTTCTAATACGAAGATATATCCTTTTCTACCATTGTCCTCGAAGCGTTTGAAATCTGCACTAGCAAATTCCACGGAAAGAATGTTTCAAATCTGCTCTCTGTAAAGAAAGGTTCAACCCTGTGAGTTGAATACACACAACACAAACAAGTTACTGAGAATTCTTCTGTCTGGCGTTATATGAAGAAATCCCATTTCCAACGAAGGCCTCAGAGAGGTCCAAATATCCACTTGCAGACTTTACAAATAGAGTGTTTCCAAACTGCTCTATTAAAAGAAAGGTTAAATTCTGTGAGTTGAAGGCACACATCAGAAACTAGTTTCTGCGAATGACTCTGTGTAGTTTTACTACGAAGATATTTCCATGACTAAGATTGGCGTCAAATCGCTTGAAATCTCCACTTGCAAATTCCACAGAAAGAGTGTTTCAAAACTACTCTGGATAAAGGAACGTTCAACTCTGTGTGTTGAATACACACAGCACAAAGATTTACTGAGAATTATTCTGTCCAGCACTATATGAAAAAATTCTGCTTCCAACGAAGACCTCAAAGGGGTCCAAGTATTCTGTAGCAGACATTACACAGAGAGTCTTTCCAAACTGATCTATGAAAAGAAAGGTGAAACTCCGTGAGCTGAACGCACACATCACAAAGTAGTTTCTGAGAATGATTCTGTCTAATTTTACACGAAGATATTTCCATTTCAAAGATTGGCCTCAAATCACTTGAAATCTCCACTTGCAAATTCCACAGAAAGAGTTTTTCAAAACTGCTCTGTCTAAAGGAAGGCTCAAATCTGTGAGATCAATACACACAACACAAAGAGGTGACTGAGAATTCTTCTGTCTGGCATTATATGAAGAAATCCCATTTCCAACGAAGGCCTCAAAGAAGTCCAAATATGCACTTGCAGACTTTACAACCAGAGTGCTTCCAAACTGCTCTATGAAAAGAAAGGTTAAACCCTGTGAGTTGAACGCACACATCACAAAGTAGTTTCTGAGAATGATTCTGTGTAGTTTTTATACGAAGATATTTCCTTTTCTGCCATAGGCCTAGAAGCGCTTGAAATCTGGCCTTGCAAATTCCCAAAAAAGAGTGTTTCAAATCTGCTCTCTCTAAAGGAAGGTTCAAATCCGTGAGTTGAATACAAACAACACAAAGAAGTTACTGAGAATTCTTCTGTCTAGCATTATGTGAGGAAATCTCGTTTCCAAAGAAGGCCTCAAAGAGGGCCAATTAACCACTTGCAGACATTACAAAGAGAGTGTTTCCAAACTGCTCGATTAAAAGAAAGGTTAAACTCTGTGAGTTGAACGCACACATTACAAAGTGTTTTCTGAGAATGATTTTCTCTCGTTCTAATACGAAGATATATCCTTTTCTACCATTGTCCTCGAAGCGTTTGAAATCTGCACTAGCAAATTCCACGGAAAGAATGTTTCAAATCTGCTCTCTGTAAAGAAAGGTTCAACCCTGTGAGTTGAATACACACAACACAAAGAAGTTACTGAGAATTCTTCTGTCTAGCGTTATATGAAGAAATCCCGTTTCCAACGAAGGCCACAGAGAGGTCCAAATATCCACTTGCAGACTTTACAAATAGAGTGTTTCCAAACTGCTCTATTAAAAGAAAGGTTAAACTCTGTGAGTTGAAGGCACACATCGGAAACTAGTTTCTGCGAATGACTCTGTGTAGTTTTACTACGAAGATATTTCCATGACTGAGATTGGCGTCAAATCGCTTGAAATCTCCACTTGCAAATTCCACAGAAAGAGTGTTTCAAAACTGCTCTGGATAAAGGAAGGTTCAACTCTGTGTGTTGAATACACACAGCACAAAGATTTACTGAGAATTATTCTGTCTAGCAGTATATGAAAAAATTCCGCTTCCAACGAAGGCCTCAAAGGGGTCCAAGTATTCACTAGCAGACGTTACAGACAGAGTCTTTCCAAACTGCTCTATGAAAAGAAAGGTGAAACTCTGTGAGCTGAACGCACACATCACAAAGTAGTTTCTGACAATGATTCTGTCTAATTTTACACGAAGATATTTCCATTTCAAAGATTGACCTCAAATCACATGAAATCTCCACTTGCAAATTCCACAGAAATAGTTTTTCAAAACTACTCTGTCTAAAGGAAGGTTCAAATCTGTGAGATCAATACACACAACACAAAGAGGTGACTGAGAATTCTTCTGTCTAGCGTTATATGAAGAAATCCCGTTTCCAATGAAGGCCTCAGAGAAGTCCAAATATGCACTTGCAGACTTTACAAACGGAGTGTTTCCAAACTGCTCGATTAAAAGAAAGGTTAAAATCTGTGAGTTGAACGCACACATCACAAAGTCGTTCTTGAGAATGATTCTGTGTAGTTTTTATACGAAGATATTTCCTTTTCTGCCATAGGCCGAGAAGAGCTTGAAATCTGCCCTTGCAAATTCCAAAAAAAGAGTGTTTCAAATCTGCTCTCTCTAAAGGAAGGTTCAAATCCGTGAGTTGAATACAAACAACACAAAGAAGTTACTGAGAATTCTTCTGTCTAGCATTATGTGAGGAAATCTCGTTTCCAAAGAAGCGCTCAAAGAGGGCCAATTAACCACTTGCAGACATTACAAAGAGAGTGTTTCCAAACTGCTCGATTAAAAGAAAGGTTAAACTCTGTGAGTTGAACGCACACATTACAAACTGTTTTCTGAGAATGATTTTCTCTCGTTCTAATACGAAGATATATCCTTTTCTACCATTGTCCTCGAAGCGTTTGAAATCTGCACTAGCAAATTCCACGGAAAGAATGTTTCAAATCTGCTCTCTGTAAAGAAAGGTTCAACCCTGTGAGTTGAATACACACAACACAAAGAAGTTACTGAGAATTCTTCTGTCTAGCGTTATATGAAGAAATCCCGTTTCCAACGAAGGACTCAGAGAGGTCCAATTATCCACTTGCAGACTTTACAAATGGAGTGTTTACAAACTGCTCTATTAAAAGAAAGGTTAAATTCTGTGAGTTGAAGGCACACATCAGAAACTAGTTTCTGCGAATGACTCTGTGTAGTTTTACTACGAAGATATTACCATGACTAAGATTGGCGTCAAATCGCTTGAAATCTCCACTTGCAAATTCCACAGAAAGAGTGTTTCAAAACTGCTCTGGATAAAGGAAGGTTCAACTCTGTGTGTTGAATACACACAGCACAAAGATTTACTGAGAATTATTCTGTCCAGCAGTATATGAAAAAGTTCCTCTTCCAACGAAGACCTCAAAGGGGTCCAAGTATTAAGTAGCAGACATTACAGAGAGAGTCTTTCCAAACTGATCTGTGAAGAGAAAGGTGGAACTCTGTGAGCTGAACGCACACATCACTAAGTAGTTGCTGAGAATGATTCTGTCTAATTTTACACAAAGATATTTCCATTTCAAAGATTGCCCTCAAATCACTTGAAATCTCCACTTGCAAATTCCACAGAAAGAGTTTTTCAAAACTGCTCTGTCTAAAGGAAGGTTCAAATCTGTGAGATCAATACACACAACACAAAGAGGTGACTGAGAATTCTTCTGTCTAGCAATATATGAAGAAATCCCGTTTCCAACGAAGGCCTCAAAGAAGTCCAAATATGCACTTGCAGACTTTACAAACAGAGTGATTCCAAACTGCTCGATTAAAAGAAAGGTTAAAATCTGTGAGTTGAACGCACACATCACAAAGTGGTTCTTGAGAATGATTCTGTGTAGTTTTTATACGAAGATATTTCCTTTTCTGCCATAGGCCCAGAAGTGCTTGAAGTCTGCACTTGCAAATTCCAAAAAAAGAGTGTTTCAAATCTGCTCTCTCTAAAGGAAGGTTCAAATCCGTGAGTTGAATACAAACAACACAAAGAAGTTACTGAGAATTCTTCTGTCTAGCATTATATGAGGAAATCTCGTTTCCAAAGAAGGGCTCAAAGAGGGCCAATTAACCACTTGCAGACATTACAAAGAGAGTGTTTCCAAACTGCTCGATTAAAAGAAAGGTTAAACTCTGTGAGTTGAACGCACACATTACAAAGTGTTTTCTGAGAATGATTTTCTCTCGTTCTAATACGAAGATATATCATTTTCTACCATTGTCCTCGAAGCGTTTGAAATCTGCACTAGCAAATTCCACGGAAAGAATGTTTCAAATCTGCTCTCTGTAAAGAAAGGTTCAACCCTGTGAGTTCAATACACACAACACAAAGAAGTTACTGAGAATTCTTCTGTCTAGCGTTATATGAAGAAATTCCGTTTCCAACGAAGGCCTCAGAGAGGTCCAAATAACCACTTGCAGACTTTACAAATGGAGTGTTTCCAAACTGCTCTATTAAAAGAAAGATTAAACTCTGTGAGTTCAAGGCACACATCAGAAACTAGTTTCTGCGAATGACTCTGTGTAGTTTTACTACGAAGATATTTCCATGACTAAGATTGGCGTCAAATCGCTTGAAATCTCCACTTGCAAATTCCACAGAAAGAGTGTTTCAAAACTGCTCTGGATAAAGGAAGGTTCAACTCTGTGAGCTGAATACACACAGCACAAAGTTTTACTGAGAATTTTTCTGTCTAGCAGTATATGAAAAAATTCCGCTTCCAACGAAGGCCTCAAAGGGGTCCAAGTATTCACTAGCAGACATTACAAACAGAGTCTTTGCAAACTGCTCTATGAAAAGAAAGGTGAAACTCTGTGAGCTGAACGCACACATCACAAAGTAGTTTCTGACAATGATTCTGTCTAATTTTACACGAAGATATTTCCATTTCAAGGATTGGCCTCAAATCACTTGAAATCTCCACTTGCAAATTCCACAGAAAGAGTTTTTCAAAACTGCCCTGTCTAAAGGAAGGTTCAAATCTGTGAGATCGATACACACAACACAAAGAGGTGACTGAGAATTCTTCTGTCTAGCATTATATGAAGGAATCCCGTTTCCAATGAAGGCCTCAAAGAAGTCCAAATATGCACTTGCAGACTTTACAAACAGAGTGTTTCCAAACTGCTCGATTAAAAGAAAGGTTAAAATCTGTGAGTTGAATGCACACATCACAAAGTCGTTCTTGAGAATGATTCTGTGTAGTTTTTATACGAAGATATTTCCTTTTCTGCCATAGGCCCAGAAGCGCTTGAAGTCTGCACTTGCAAATTCCAAAAAAAGAGTGTTTCAAATCTGCTCTCTCTAAAGGAAGGTTCAAATCCGTGAGTTGAATACAAACAACACAAAGAAGTTACTGAGAATTCTTCTGTCTAGCATTATATGAGGAAATCTCGTTTCCAAAGAAGGGCTCAAAGAGGGCCAATTAACCACTTACATACATTACAAAGACAGTGTTTCCAAACTGCTCAGTTAAAAGAAAGGTTAAACTCTGTGAGTTGAACGCACACATTACAAAGTGTTTTCTGAGAATGATTTTCTCTCGTTCTAATACGAAGATATATCCTTTTCTACCATTGTCCTCGAAGCGTTTGAAATCTGCACTAGCAAATTCCACGGAAAGAATGTTTCAAATCTGCTCTCTGTAAAGAAAGGTTCAACCCTGTGAGTTGAATACACAAAACAGAAAGAAGTTACTGAGAATTCTTCTGTCTAGCGTTATATGAAGAAATCCCGTTTCCAACGAAGGCCTCAGAGAGGTCCAAATAACCACTTGCAGTCTTTACAAATGATGTGTTTTCAAACTGCTCTATTAAAAGAAAGATTAAATTCTGTGAGTTGAAGGCACACATCAGAAACTAGTTTCTGCGAATGACTCTGTGTAGTTTTACTACGAAGATATTTCCATCTCTAAGATTGGCCTCAAATCGCTTGAATTCTCCACTTGCAAATTCCACACGAAGAGTGTTTCAAAACTGCTCAGGATAAAGGATGGTTCAACTCTGTGTGTTGAATACACACAGCACAAAGGTTTACTGAGTATTCTTCTGTCCAGCAGTATATGAAAAAATTCCGCTTCCAACGAAGACCTCAAAGGGGTCCAAGAATTCAGTAGCAGACATTACAGAGAGAGTCTTTCTAAACTGATCTATGAAAAGAAAGGTGAAACTCTGTGAGCTGAACGCACACTTCACAAAGTAGTTTCTGAGAATGATTCTGTCTAATTTTACACGAAGATATTTCCATTTCAAAGATTGGCCTCAAATCACATGAAATCTCCACTTGCGAATTCCACAGAAAGAGTGTTTCAAAACTACTCTGTCTAAAGGAAGGTTCAAATCTGTGAGATCAATACACACAATACAAAGAGGTGACTGAGAATTCTTCTGTCTAGCATTATATGAAGAAATCCCGTTTCCAATGAAGGCCTCAAAGAAGTCCAAATATGCACTTGCAGACTTTACAAACAGAGTGTTTCCAAACTGCTCGATTAAAAGAAAGGTTAAAATCTGTGAGTTGAACGCACACATCACAAAGTGGTTCTTGAGAATGATTCTGTGTAGTTTTTATACGAAGATATTTCCTTTTCTGCCATAGGCCCAGAAGCGCTTGAAGTCTGCACTTGCAAATTCCAAAAAAAGAGTGTTTCAAATCTGCTCTCTCTAAAGGAAGGTTCAAATCCGTGAGTTGAATACAAACAACACAAAGAAGTTACTGAGAATTCTTCTGTCTAGCATTATATGAGGAAATCTCGTTTCCAAAGGAGGGCTCAAAGAGGGCCAATTAACCAATTGCAGACATTACAAAGACAGTGTTTCCAAACTGCTCAGTTAAAAGAAAGGTTACACGCTGTGACTTGAACTCACACATTACAAACTGTTTTCTGAGAATGATTTTCTCTCGTTCTAATACGAAGATATATCCTTTTCTACCATTGTCCTCGAAGCGTTTGAAATCTGCACTAGCAAATTCCACGGAAAGAATGTTTCAAATCTGCTCTCTGTAAAGAAAGGTTCAACCCTGTGAGTTGAATACACACAACACAAAGAAGTTACTGAGAATTCTTCTGCCTAGCGTTATATGAAGAAATCGTGTTTCCAACGAAGGACTCAGAGAGGTCCAAATATCCACTTGCAGACTTTACAAATGGAGTGTTTCCAAACTGCTCTACTAATGGAAAGGTTAAATTCTGTGAGTTGAAGGCACACATCAGAAACTAGTTTCTGCGAATGACTCTGTGTAGTTTTACTACGAAGATATTTCCATGTCTAAGATTGGCCTCAAATCGCTTGAATTCCCCACTTGCAAATTCCACACAAAGAGTGTTTCAAAACTGCTCAGGATAAAGGATGGTTCAACTCTGTGTGTTGAATACACACAGCACAAAGTTTTACTGAGAATTCTTCTGTCTAGCAGTATATGAAAAAATTCCGCTTCCAACGAAGGCCTCAAAGGGGTCCAAATATTCACTAGCAGACATTACAGACAGAGTCTTTCCAAACTGCTCTATGAAAAGAAAGGTGAAACTCTGTGAGCTGAACGCACACATAACAAAGTAGTTTCTGACAATGATTCTGTCTAATTTTACACGAAGATATTTCCATTTCAAAGATTGGCCTCAAATCACTTGAAATCTCCACTTGCGAATTCCACAGAAAGAGTTTTTCAAAACTGCTCTGTCTAAAGGAAGGTTCAAATCTGTGAGATTAATACACACAACACAAAGAGGTGACTGAGAATTCTTCTGTCTAGCATTATATGAAGAAATCCCGTTTCCAACGAAGGCCTCAAAGAAGTCCAAATATGCACTTGCAGACTTTACAACCAGAGTGTTTCCAAACTGCTCTATGAAAAGAAAGGTTAAACCCTGTGAGTTGAATGCACACATCACAAAGTAGTTTCTGAGAATGATTCTGTGTAGTTTTTATACGAAGATATTTCCTTTTCTGCCATAGGCCTAGAAGCGCTTGAAATCTGCTCTTGCAAATTCCAAAAAAAGAGTGTTTCAAATCTGCTCTCTCTAAAGGAAGCTTCAAATCCGTGAGTTGAATACAAACAACACAAAGAAGTTGCTGAGAATTCTTCTGTCTAGCCGTATGTGAGGAAATCTCGTTTCCAAAGACGGGCTCAAAGAGGGCCAATTAACCACTTGCAGACATTACAAAGACAGTGTTTCCAAACTGCTCGATTAAAAGAAAGGTTAAACTCTGTGAGTTGAACGCACACATTACAAAGTGTTTTCTGAGAATGATTTTCTCTCGTTCTAATACGAAGATATATCCTTTTCCACCATTGTCCTCGAAGCGTTTGAAATCTGCACTAGCAAATTCCATGGAAAGAATGTTTCAAATCTGCTCTCTGTAAAGAAAGGTTCAACCCTGTGAGTTGAATAACACACAACACAAAGAAGTTACTGAGAATTCTTCTGTCTAGCGTTATATGAAGAAATCCCGTTTCCAACGAAGGCCTCAGAGAGGTCCAAATATCCACTTGCAGACTTTATAAATGGAGAGTTTCCAAACTGCTCTATTAAAAGAAAGGTTAAACTCTGTGAGTTGAAGGCACACATCAGAAACTAGTTCCTGCGAATGACTCTGTGTAGTTTTACTACGAAGATATTTCCATGACTAAGATTGGCGTCAAATCGCTTGAAATCTCCACTTGCAAATTCCACAGAAAGAGTGTTTCAAAACTGCTCTGGATAAAGGAAGGTTCAACTCTGTGTGTTGAATACACACAGCAAAAAGATTTACTGAGAATTCTTCTGTCTAGCAGTATATGAAAAAATTCCGCTTCTAACGAAGGCCTCAAAGGGGTCCAAGTATTCACTAGCAGACATTACAAACAGAGTCTTTCCAAACTGCTCTATGAAAAGAAAGGTGAAACTCTGTGAGCTGAACGCACACATCACAAACTAGTTTCTGACAATGATTCTGTCTAATTTTACAAGAAGATATTTCCATTTCAAAGATTGGCCTCAAATCACTTGAAATCTCCACTTCCAAATTCCACAGAAAGAGTTTTTCAAAACTGCTCTGTCTAAAGGAAGGTTCAAATCTGTGAGATCAATACACACAACACAAAGAGGTGACTGAGAATTCTTCTGTCTAGCAGTATATGAAGAAATCCCGTTTCCAACGAAGGCCTCAAAGAAGTCCAAATATGCACTTGCAGACTTTACAAACAGAGTGTTTCCAAACTGCTCGATTAAAAGAAAGGTTAAAATCTGTGAGTTGAACGCACACATCACAAAGTAGTTCTTGAGAATGATTCTGTGTAGGTTTTATACGAAGATATTTCCTTTTCTGCCATAGGCCCAGAAGCGCTTGAAGTCTGCACTTGCAAATTCCAAAAAAAGAGTGTTTCAAATCTGCTCTCTCTAAAGGAAGGTTCAAATCCGTGAGTTGAATACAAACAACACAAAGAAGTTACTGAGAATTCTTCTGTCTAGCATTATGTGAGGAAATCTCGTTTCCAAAGAAGGGCTCAAAGAGGGCCAATTAACCACTTGCAGACATTACAAAGAGAGTGTTTCCAAACTGCTCGATTAAAAGAAAGGTTAAACTCTGTGAGTTGAACGCACACATTACAAAGTGTTTCCTGAGAATGATTTTCTCTCGTTCTAATACGAAGATATATCCTTTTCTACCATTGTCCTCGAAGCGTTTGAAATCTGCACTAGCAAATTCCATGGAAAGAATGTTTCAAATCTGCTCTCTGTAAAGAAAGGTTCAACCCTGTGAGTTGAATACACACAACACAAAGAAGTTACTGAGAATTCTTCTGTCTAGCCTTGTATGAAGAAATCCCGTTTCCAACGAATGCCTCAGAGAGGTCCAAATATCCACTTTCAGACTTTACAAATGGAGAGTTTCCAAACTGCTCTATTAAAAGAAAGGTTACACTCTGTGAGTTGAAGGCACACATCAGAAACTAGTTTCTGCGAATGACTCTGTGTAGTTTTACTACGAAGATATTTCCATGACTAAGATTGGCGTCAAATCGCTTGAAATCTCCACTTGCAAATTCCACAGAAAGAGTGTTTCAAAACTGCTCAGGATAAAGGAAGGTTCAACTCTGTGTGTTGAATACACACAGCACAAAGATTTACTGAGAATTCTTCTGTCTAGCAGTATATGAAAAAATTCCGCTTCTAACGAAGGCCTCAAAGGGGTCCAAGTATTCACTAGCAGACATTACAAACAGAGTCTTTCCAAACTGCTCTATGAAAAGAAAGGTGAAACTCTGTGAGCTGAACGCACACATCACAAAGTAGTTTCTGACAATGATTCTGTCTAGTTTTTACACGGAGATATTTCCATTTCAAAGATTGGCCTTAAACCGCATGTAATCTCCACTTGCAAATTCCACAGAAATAGTTTTTCAAAACTGCTCTGTCTAAAGGAAGGTTCAAATCTGTGAGATCAATACACACAACACAAAGAGGTGACTGAGAATTCTTCTGTCTAGCATTATATGAAGAAATCCCGTTTCCAATGAAGGCCTCAAAGAAGTCCAAATACGCATTTGCAGACTTTACAAACAGAGTGTTTCCAAACTGCTCGATTAAAAGAAAGGTTAAAATCTGTGAGTTGAACGCACACATCACAAAGTGGTTCTTGAGAATGATTCTGTGTAGTTTTTATACGAAGATATTTCCTTTTCTGCCATAGGCCTCGAAGCGCATGAAATCTGCCCTTGCAAATTCCAAAGAAAGAGTGTTTCAAATCTGCTCTCTCTAAAGGAAGGTTCAAACCCGTGAGTTGAAGAAAACATCACAAAGAAGTTACTGAGAATTCTTCTGTCTAGCCTTATGTGAGGAAATCTCGTTTCCAAAGAAGGGCTCAAAGAGGGCCAATTAACCACTTGCAGACATTACAAAGAGAGTGTTTCCAAACTGCTCGATTAAAAGAAAGGTTAAACTCTGTGAGTTGAACGCACACATTACAAAGTGTTTTCTGAGAATGATTTTCTCTCGTTCTAATACGAAGATATATCCTTTTCTACCATTGTCCTCGAAGCGTTTGAAATCTGCACTAGCAAATTCCACTTAAAGAATGTTTCAAACCTGCTCTCTGAAAGAAAGGTTCAACCCTGTGAGTTGAATACACACAACACAAAGAAGTTACTGAGAATTCTTCTGTCTAGTGTTATATGAAGAAATCCCGTTTCCAACGAAGGCCTCAGAGAGGTCCAAATATCCACTTGCAGACTTTACAAATAGAGTGTTTCCAAACTGCTCTATTAAAAGAAAGGTTAAATTCTGTGAGTTGAAGGCACACAACAGAAACTAGTTTCTGCGAATGACTCTGTGTAGTTTTACTACGAAGATATTACCATGACTAAGATTGGCGTCAAATCGCTTGAAATCTCCACTTGCAAATTCCACAGAAAGAGTGCTTCAAAACTGCTCTGTATAAAGGAACGTTCAACTCTGTGTGTTGAATACACACAGCACAAAGTTTTACTGAGAATTTTTCTGTCTAGCAGTATATGAAAAAATTCCGCTTCTAACGAAGGCCTCAAAGGGGTCCAAGTATTCACTAGCAGACATTACAAACAGAGTCTTTACAAACTGCTCTATGAAAAGAAAGGTGAAACTCTGTGAGCTGAATGCACACATCACAAACTAGTTTCTGACAATGATTCTGTCTAATTTTACACGAAGATATTTCCATTTCAAAGATTGGCCTCAAATCACATGAAATCTCCACTTGCGAATTCCACAGAAAGAGTGTTTCAAAACTACTCTGTCTAAAGGAAGGTTCAAATCTGTGAGATCAATACACACAATACAAAGAGGTGACTGAGAATTCTTCTGTTTGGCATTATATGAAGAAATCCCATTTCCAACGAAGGCCTCAAAGAAGTCCAAATATGCACTTGCAGACTTTACAACCAGAGAGTTTCCAAACTGCTCTATGAAAAGAAAGGTTAAACCCTGTGAGTTCAACGCACACATCACAAAGTAGTTTCTGACAATGATTCTGTCTAGTTTTTACACGGAGATATTTCCATTTCAAAGATTGGCCTTAAATCGCATGTAATATCCACTTGCAAATTCCACAGAAAGAGTTTTTCAAAACTTCTCTGTCTAAATGAAGATTCAACTCTGTGTCTTGAATACACACAACACAAAGAAACGACTGAGAATTCTTCTGTCTAGCAGTATATGAAGAAATCCCGGTTCCAACGAAGGCCTCAAAGAAGTCCAAATATGCACTTGCAGACTTTACAAACAGAGTGTTTCCAAACTGCTCGATTAAAAGAAAGGTTAAAATCTGTGAGTTGAACGCACACATCACAAAGTAGTTCTTGAGAATGATTCTGTGTAGTTTTTATACGAAGATATTTCCTTTTCTGCCATAGGCCCAGAAGCGCTTGAAGTCTGCACTTGCAAATTCCAAAAAAAGAGTGTTTCAAATCTGCTCTCTCTAAAGGAAGGTTCAAATCCGTGAGTTGAATACAAACAACACAAAGAAGTTACTGAGAATTCTTCTGTCTAGCATTATATGAGGAAATCTCGTTTCCAAAGAAGGGCTCAAAGAGGGCCAATTAACCACTTGCATACATTACAAAGACAGTGTTTCCAAACTGCTCAGTTAAAAGAAAGGTTAAACTCTGTGAGTTGAACGCACACATTACAAAGTGTTTTCTGAGAATGATTTTCTCTCGTTTTAATACGAAGATATATCCTTTTCTACCATTGTCCTCGAAGCGTTTGAAATCTGCACTAGCAAATTCCACGGAAAGAATGTTTCAAATCTGCTCTCTGTAAAGAAAGGTTCAACCCTGTGAGTTGAATACACACAACAGAAAGAAGTTACTGAGAATTCTTCTGTCTAGCGTTATATGAAGAAATCCCGTTTCGAACGAAGGCCTCAGAGAGGTCCAAATATCCACTTGCAGACTTTACAAATGGAGTGTTTCCAAACTGCTCTATTAAAAGAAAGGTTAAATTCTGTGAGTTGAAGGCACACATCAGAAACTAGTTTCTGCGAATGACTCTGTGTAGTTTTACTACGAAGATATTTCCATGACTAAGATTGGCGTCAAATCGCTTGAAATCTCCACTTGCAAATTCCACATAAAGAGTGTTTCAAAACTGCTCAGGATAAAGGAAGGTTCAACTCTGTGTGTTGAATACACACAGCACAAAGATTTACTGAGAATTCTTCTGTCTAGCAGTATATGAAAAAATTCCGCTTCTAACGAAGGCCTCAAAGGGGTCCAAGTATTCACTAGCAGACATTACAAACAGAGTCTTTCCAAACTGCTCTATGAAAAGAAAGGTGAAACTCTGTGAGCTGAACGCACACATCACAAAGTAGTTTCTGAGAATGATTCTGTCTAATTTTACACGAAGATATTTCCATTTCAAAGATTGGCCTCAAATCACTTGAAATCTCCACTTGCAAATTTCACAGAAAGAGTTTTTCAAAACTGCTCTGTCTAAAGGAAGGTTCAAATCTGTGAGATCAATACACACAACACAAAGAGGTGACTGAGAATTCTTCTGTCTAGCATTATATGAAGAAATCCCGGTTCCAACGAAGGCCTCAAAGAAGTCCAAATATGCACTTGCAGACTTTACAACCAGAGTGTTTCCAAACTGCTCGATTAAAAGAAAGGTTAAAATCTGTGAGTTGAACGCACACATCACAAAGTAGTTCTTGAGAATGATTCTGTGTAATTTTTATACGAAGATATTTCCTTTTATGCCATAGGCCCAGAAGCGCTTGAAGTCTGCACTTGCAAATTCCAAAAAAAGAGTGTTTCAAATCTGCTCTCTCTAAAGGAAGGTTCAAATCCGTGAGTTGAATACAAACAACACACAGAAGTTACTGAGAATTCTTCTGTCTAGCATTATATGAGGAAATCTCATTTCCAAAGGAGGGCTCAAAGAGGGCCAATTAACCAATTGCAGACATTACAAAGAGAGTGTTTCCAAACTGCTCAGTTAAAAGAAAGGTTAAACTCTGTGACTTGAACGCACACATTACAAACTGTTTTCTGAGAATGATTTTCTCTCGTTCTAATACGAAGATATATCCTTTTCTACAATTGTCCTCGAAGCGTTTGAAATCTGCACTAGCAAATTCCACGGAAAGAATGTTTCAAATCTGCTCTCTGTAAAGAAAGGTTCCACCCTGTGAGTTGAATACACACAACACAAAGAAGTTACTGAGAATTCTTCTGTCTGGCGTTATATGAAGAAATCCCGTTTCCAACGAAGGCCTCAGAGAGGTCCAAATATCCACTTGCAGACTTTACAAATAGAGTGTTTCCAAACTGCTCTATTAAAAGAAAGGTTAAATTCTGTGAGTTGAAGGCACACATCAGAAACTAGTTTCTGCGAATGACTCTGTGTAGTTTTACTACGAAGATATTTCCATGTCTAAGATTGGCCTCAAATCGCTTGAATTCTCCACTTGCAAATTCTACACAAAGACTGTTTCAAAACTGCTCAGGATAAAGGATGGTTCAACTCTGTGTGTTGAATACACACAGCACAAAGATTTACTGAGAATTCTTCTGTCTAGCAGTATATGAAAAAATTCCGCTTCCAACGAAGGCCTCAAAGGGGTCCAAATATTCACTAGCAGACATTACAGACAGAGTCTTTCCAAACTGCTCTATGAAAAGAAAGGTGAAACTCTGTGAGCTGAACGCACACATAACAAAGTAGTTTCTGACAATGATTCTGTCTAATTTTACACGAAGATATTTCCATTTCAAAGATTGGCCTCAAATCACATGAAATCTCCACTTGCAAATTCCACAGAAAGAGTTTTTCAAAACTGCTCTGTCTAAAGGAAGGTTCAAATCTGTGAGATCAATACACACAACACAAAGAGGTGACTGAGAATTCTTCTGTCTGGCATTATATGAAGAAATCCCATTTCCAACGAAGGCCTCAAAGAAGTCCAAATATGCACTTGCAGACTTTACAATCAGAGTGTTTCCAAACTGCTCTATGAAAAGAAAGGTTAAACCCTGTGAGTTGAACGCACACATCACAAAGTAGTTTCTGAGAATGATTCTGTCTAGTTTTTACACGGAGATATTTCCATTTCAAAGATTGGCCTTAAATCGCATGTAATCTCCACTTGCAAATTCCACAGAAAGAGTTTTTCAAAACTGCTCTGTCTAAATGAAGGTTCAACTCTGTGACTTGAATACACACAACACAAAGAAGTGACTGAGAATTCTTCTGTCTAGCAGTATATGAAGAAATCCCGTTTCCAACGAAGGCCTCAAAGAAGTCCAAATATGCACTTGCAGACTTTACAACCAGAGTGTTTCCAAACTGCTCGATTAAAAGAAAGGTTAAAATCTGTGAGTTGAACGCACACATCACAAAGTAGTTCTCGAGAATGATTCTGTGTAGTTTTTATACGAAGATATTTCCTTTTCTGCCATAGGCCTAGAAGCGCTTGAAATCTGCCCTTGCAAATTCCAAAAAAAGAGTGTTTCAAATCTGCTCTCTCTAAAGGAAGGTTCAAATCCGTGAGTTGAATACAAACAACACAAAGAAGTTACTGAGAATTCTTCTGTCTAGCATTATATGAGGAAATCTCGTTTCCAAAGAAGGGCTCAAAGAGGGCCAATTAACCACTTGCAGACATTACAAAGACAGTGTTTCCAAACTGCTCGATTAAAAGAAAGGTTAAACTCTGTGAGTTGAACGCACACATTACAAAGTGTTTTCTGAGAATGATTTTCTCTCGTTCTAATACGAAGATATATCCCTTTCTACCATTGTCCTCGAAGCGTTTGAAATCTGCACTAGCAAATTCCACGGAAAGAATGTTTCAAATCTGCTCTCTGTAAAGAAAGGTTCAACCCTGTGAGTTGAATACACACAACACAAAGAAGTTACTGAGAATTCTTCTGTCTAGCGTTATATGAAGAAATCCCGTTTCCAACGAAGGCCTCAGAGAGGTCCAAATAACCACTTGCAGACTTTCCAAATGGAGTGTTTCCAAACTGCTCTATTAAAAGAAAGATTAAACCCTGTGAGTTGAAGGCACACATCAGAAACTAGTTTCTGCGAATGACTCTGTGTAGTTTTACTACGAAGATATTTCCATGTCTAAGATTGGCCTCAAATCGCTTGAATTCTCCACTTGCAAATTCCACACAAAGAGTGTTTCAAAACTGCTCAGGATAAAGGATGGTTCAACTCTGTGTGTTGAATACACACAGCACAAAGATTTACTGAGAATTCTTCTGTCTAGCAGTATATGAAAAAATTCCGCTTCCAACGAAGGCCTCAAAGGGGTCCAAATATTCACTAGCAGACATTACAGGCAGAGTCTTTCCTAACTGCTCTATGAAAAGAAAGGTGAAACTCTGTGAGCTGAACGCACACATCACAAAGTAGTTTCTGACAATGATTCTGTCTAATTTTACACGAAGATATTTCCATTTCAAAGATTGGCCTCAAATCACTTGAAATCTCCACTTGCAAATTCCACAGAAAGAGTTTTTCAAAACTGCTCTGTCTAAAGGAAGGTTCAAATCTGTGAGATGAATACACACAACACAAAGAGGTGACTGATAATTCTTCTGTCTAGCAGTATATGAAGAAATCCCGTTTCCAACGAAGGCCTCAAAGAAGTCCAAATATGCACTTGCAGACTTTACAAACAGAGTGTTTCCAAACTGCTCGATTAAAATAAAGGTTAAAATCTGTGAGTTGAACGCACACATCACAAAGTAGTTCTTGAGAATGATTCTGTGTAGTTTTTATACGAAGATATATCCTTTTCTACCATTGTCCTCGAAGCGTTTGAAATCTGCACTAGCAAATTCCACGGAAAGAATGTTTCAAATCTGCTCTCTGTAAAGAAAGGTTCAACCCTGTGAGTTGAATACACACAACACAAAGAAGTTAGTGAGAATTCTTCTGTCTAGCGTTATATGAAGAAATCCCGTTTCCAACGAAGGCCTCAGAGAGGTCCAAATAACCACTTGCAGACTTTCCAAATGGAGTGTTTCCAAACTGCTCTATTAAAAGAAAGATTAAACTCTGTGAGTTGAAGGCACACATCAGAAACTAGTTTCTGCGAATGACTCTGTGTAGTTTTACTACGAAGATATTTCCATGTCTAAGATTGGCCTCAAATCGCTTGAGTTCTCCACTTGCAAATTCCACACAAAGAGTGTTTCAAAACTGCTCAGGATAAAGGATGGTTCAACTCTGTGTGTTGAATACACACAGCACAAAGATTTACTGAGAATTCTTCTGTCCAGCAGTATATGAAAAAATTCCGCTTCCAACGAAGACCTCAAAGGGGTCCAAGTATTCAGTAGCAGACATTACAGAGAGAGTCTTTCTAAACTGATCTATGAAAAGAAAGGTGAAACTCTGTGAGCTGAACGCACACATCACAAAGTAGTTTCTGAGAATGATTCTGTCTAATTTTACACGAAGATAATTCCATTTTAAAGATTGGCCTCAAATCACATGAAATCTCCACTTGCAAATTCCACAGAAAGAGTTTTTCAAAACTGCTCTGTCTAAAGGAAGGTTCAAATCTGTGAGATCAATACACACAACACAAAGAGGTGACTGAGAATTCTTCTGTCTAGCATTATATGAAGAAATCCCGTTTCCAATGAAGGCCTCAAAGAAGTCCAAATATGCACTTGCAGACTTTACAACCAGAGTGTTTCCAAACTGCTCGATTAAAAGAAAGGTTAAAATCTGTGAGTTGAACGCACACATCACAAAGTAGTTCTTGAGAATGATTCTGTGTAGTTTTTATACGAAGATATTTCCTTTTCTGCCATAGGCCCAGAAGCGCTTGAAGTCTGCACTTGCAAATTCCAAAAAAAGAGTGTTTCAAATCTGCTCTCTCTAAAGGAAGGTTCAAATCCGTGAGTTGAATACAAACAACACAAAGAAGTTACTGAGAATTCTTCTGTCTAGCATTATATGAGGAAATCTCGTTTCCAAAGAAGGGCTCAAAGAGGGCCAATTAACCACTTGCATACATTACAAAGACAGTGTTTCCAAACTGCTCAGTTAAAAGAAAGGTTAAACTCTGTGAGTTGAACGCACACATTACAAAGTGTTTTCTGAGAATGATTTTCTCTCGTTCTAATACGAAGATATATCCCTTTCTACCATTGTCCTCAAAGCGTTTGAAATCTGCACTAGCAAATTCCACGGAAAGAATGTTTCAAATCTGCTCTCTGTAAAGAAAGGTTCAACCCTGTGAGTTGAATACACACAACACAAAGAAGTTACTGAGAATTCTTCTGTCTAGCGTTATATGAAGAAATCCCGTTTCCAATGAAGGCCTCAGAGAGGTCCAAATGTCCACTTGCAGACTTTACAAATGGAGTGTTTCCAAACTGCTCTATTAAAAGAAAGGTTAAATTCTGTGAGTTGAAGGCACACATCAGAAACTAGTTTCTGCGAATGACTCTGTGTAGTTTTACTACGAAGATATTTCCATGACTAAGATTGGCGTCAAATCGCTTGAAATCTCCACTTGCAAATTCCACAGAAAGAGTGTTTCAAAACTGCTCTGGATAAAGGAACGTTCAACTCTGTGTGTTGAATACACACAGCACAAAGTTTTACTGAGAATTTTTCTGTCCAGCAGTATATGAAAAAATTCCGCTTCCAACGAAGACCTCAAAGGGGTCCAAGTATTCAGTAGCAGACATTACAGAGAGAGTCTTTCCAAACTGACCTATGAAAAGAAAGGTGAAACTCTGTGAGCTGAACGCACACATCACAAAGTAGTTTCTGAGAATGATTCTGTGTAGTTTTTACACGAAGAGATTTCCATTTCAAAGATTGGCCTCAAATCGCTTGAAATCTCCACTTGCAAATTCCACAGAAAGAGTTTTTCAAAACTGCTCTGTCTAAAGGAAGGTTCAACTCTGTGACTTGAATACACACAACAGAAAGAAGTTACTGAGAATTCTTCTGTTTGGCATTATATGAAGAAATCCCATTTCCAACGAAGGCCTCAAAGAAGTCCAAATATGCACTTGCAGACTTTACAACCAGAGTGTTTCCAAACTGCTCTATGAAAAGAAAGGTTAAACCCTGTGAGTTGAACGCACACATCACAAAGTAGTTTCTGAGAATGATTCTGTCTAGTTTTTACACGGAGATATTTCCATTTCAAAGATTGGCCTTAAACCGCATGTAATCTCCACTTGCAAATTCCACAGAAATAGTTTTTCAAAACTGCTCTGTCTAAAGGAAGGTTCAAATCTGTGAGATCAATACACACAACACAAAGAGGTGACTGAGAATTCTTCTGTCTAGCATTATATGAAGAAATCCCGTTTCCAATGAAGGCCTCAAAGAAGTCCAAATATGCACTTGCAGACTTTACAAACAGAGTGTTTCCAAACTGCTCGATTAAAAGAAAGGTTAAAATCTGTGAGTTGAACGCACACATCACAAAGTGGTTCTTGAGAATGATTCTGTGTAGTTTTTATACGAAGATATTTCCTTTTCTGCCATAGGCCCAGAAGCGCTTGAAGTCTGCACTTGCAAATTCCAAAAAAAGTGTGTATCAAATCTGCTCTCTCTAAAGGAAGGTTCAAATCCGTGAGTTGAATACAAACAACACAAAGAAGTTACTGAGAATTCTTCTGTCTAGCATTATGTGAGGAAATCTCGTTTCCAAAGAAGGCCTCAATGAGGGCCAATTAACCACTTGCAGACATTACAAAGAGAGTGTTTCCAAACTGCTCGATTAAAAGAAAGGTTAAACTCTGTGAGTTGAACGCACACATTACAAAGTGTTTTCTGAGAATGATTTTCTCTCGTTCTAATACGAAGATATATCCCTTTCTACCATTGTCCTCGAAGCATTTGAAATCTGCACTAGCAAATTCCACGGAAAGAATGTTTCAAATCTGCTCTCTGTAAAGAAAGGTTCAACCCTGTGAGTTGAATACACACAACACAAAGAAGTTACTGAGAATTCTTCTGTCTAGCGTTATATGAAGAAATCCCGTTTCCAACGAAGGCCTCAGAGAGGTCCAAATATCCACTTGCAGACTTTACAAATAGAGTGTTTCCAAACTGCTCTATTAAAAGAAAGGTTAAATTCTGTGAGTTGAAGGCACACATCAGAACCTAGTTTCTGCGAATGACTCTGTGTAGTTTTACTACGAAGATATTTCCATGACTAAGATTGGCGTCAAATCGCTTGAAATCTCCACTTGCAAATTCCACAGAAAGAGTGTTTCAAAACTGCTCTGGATAAAGGAACGTTCAACTCTGTGTGTTGAATACACACAGCACAAAGATTTACTGAGAATTATTCTGTCCAGCAGTATATGAAAAAATTCCGCTTCCAACGAAGACCTCAAAGGGGTCCAAGTATTCAGTAGCAGACATTACACAGAGAGTCTTTCCAAACTGATCTATGAAAAGAAAGGTGAAACTCTGTGAGCTGAACGCACACATCACAAAGTAGTTTCTGAGAATGATTCTGTCTAATTTTACACGAAGATATTTCCATTTCAAGGATTGGCCTCAAATCACTTGAAATCTCCACTTGCAAATTCCACAGAAAGAGTTTTTCAAAACTGCCCTGTCTAAAGGAAGGTTCAAATCTGTGAGATCGATACACACAACACAAAGAGGTGACTGAGAATTCTTCTGTTTGGCATTATATGAAGAAATCCCATTTCCAACGAAGGCCTCAAAGAAGTCCAAATATGCACTTGCAGACTTTACAACCAGAGTGTTTCCAAACTGCTCTATGAAAAGAAAGGTTAAACCCTGTGAGTTGAACGCACACATCACAAAGTAGTTTCTGACAATGATTATGTGTAGTTTTTATACGAAGATATTTCCTTTTCTGCCATAGGTCCAGAAGCGCTTGAAGTCTGCACTTGCAAATTACAAAAAAAGAGTGTTTCAAATCTGCTCTCTCTAAAGGAAGGTTCAAATCCGTGAGTTGAATACAAACAACACAAAGAAGTTACTGAGAATTCTTCTGTCTAGCATTATGTGAGGAAATCTCGTTTCCAAAGGAGGGCTCAAAGAGGGCCAATTAACCACTTGCAGACATTACAAAGAGAGTGTTTCCAAACTGCTCGATTAAAAGAAAGGTTAAACTCTGTGAGTTGAACGCACACATTACAAAGTGTTTTCTGAGAATGATTCTGTGTAGTTTTTATACGAAGATATATCCTTTTCTACCATTGTCCTCGAAGCGTTTGAAATCTGCACTAGCAAATTCCACGGAAAGAATGTTTCAAATCTGCTCTCTGTAAAGAAAGGTTCAACCCTGTGAGTTGAATACACACAACACAAAGAAGTTAGTGAGAATTCTTCTGTCTAGCGTTATATGAAGAAATCCCGTTTCCAACGAAGGCCTCAGAGAGGTCCAAATAACCACTTGCAGTCTTTACAAATGATGTGTTTCCAAACTGCTCTATTAAAAGAAAGATTAAATTCTGTGAGTTGAAGGCACACATCAGAAACTAGTTTCTGCGAATGACTCTGTGTAGTTTTACTACGAAGATATTTCCATGACTAAGATTGGCGTCAAATCGCTTGAAATCTCCACTTGCAAATTCCACAGAAAGAGTGTTTCAAAACTGCTCTGGATAAAGGAAGGTTCAACTCTGTGTGTTGAATACACACAGCACAAAGATTTACTGAGAATTATTCTGTCCAGCAGTATATGAAAAAATTCCGCTTCCAACGAAGACCTCAAAGGGGTCCAAGTATTCAGTAGCAGACATTACAGAGAGAGTCTTTCTAAACTGATCTATGAAAAGAAAGGTGAAACTCTGTGAGCTGAACGCACACATCACAAAGTAGTTTCTGAGAATGATTCTGTCTAATTTTACACGAAGATATTTCCATTTCAAAGATTGGCCTCAAATCACTTGAAATCTCCACTTGCAAATTCCACAGAAAGAGTTTTTCAAAACTGCTCTGTCTAAAGGAAGGTTCAAATCTTTGAGATGAATACACACAACACAAAGAGGTGACTGAGAATTCTTCTGTCTAGCAGTATATGAAGAAATCCCGTTTCAAACGAAGGCCTCAAAGAAGTACAAATATGCACTTGCAGACTTTACAAACAGAGTGTTTCCAAACTGCTCGATTAAAAGAAAGGTTAAAATGAGTGAGTTGAACGCACACATCACAAAGTGGTTCTTGAGAATGATTCTGTGTAGTTTTTATACGAAGATATTTCCTTTTCTGCCATAGGCCTAGAAGCGCTTGAAATCTGCTCTTGCAAATTCCAAAAAAAGAGAGTTTCAAATCTGCTCTCTCTAAAGGAAGCTTCAAATCCGTGAGTTGAATACAAACAACACAAAGAAGTTGCTGAGAATTCTTCTGTCTAGCATTATATGAGGAAATCTCGTTTCCAAAGACGGGCTCAAAGAGGACCAATTAACGACTTGCTGACATTACAAAGACAGTGTTTCCAAAGTGCTCGATTAAAAGAAAGGTTAAACTCTGTGAGTTGAACGCACACATTACAAAGTGTTTTCTGAGAATGATTTTCTCTCGTTCTAATACGAAGATATATCCTTTTCTACCATTGTCCTCAAAGCGTTTGAAATCTGCACTAGCAAATTCCACGGAAAGAATGTTTCAAATCTGCTCTCTGTAAAGAAAGGTTCAACCCTGTGAGTTGAATACACACAACACAAAGAAGTTACTGAGAATTCTTCTGTCTAGCGTTATATGAAGAAATCCCGTTTCCAACGAAGGCCTCAGAGAGGTCCAAATATCCACTTGCAGACTTTACAAATGGAGTGTTTCCAAACTGCTCTATTAAAAGAAAGGTTAAATTCTGTGAGTTGAAGGCACACATCAGAATGTAGTTTCTGCGAAAGACTCTGTGTAGTTTTACTACGAAGATATTTCCATGACTAAGATTGGCGTCAAATCGCTTGAAATCTCCACTTGCAAATTCCACAGAAAGAGTGTTTCAAAACTGCTCTGGATAAAGGAAGGTTCAACTCTGTGTGTTGAATACACACAGCACAAAGATTTACTGAGAATTCTTCTGTCCAGCAGTATATGAAAAAATTCCGCTTCCAACGAAGACCTCAAAGGGGTCCAAGTATTCAGTAGCAGACATTACAGAGAGAGTCTTTCCAAACTGATCTATGAAAAGAAAGGTGAAACTCTGTGAGCTGAACGCACACATCACAAAGTAGTTTCTGAGAATGATTCTGTCTAATTTTACACGAAGATATTTCCATTTCAAAGATTGCCCTCAAATCACTTGAAATCTCCACTTGCAAATTCCACAGAAAGAGTTTTTCAAAACTGCTCTGTCTAAAGGAAGGTTCAAATCTGTGAGATCAATACACACAACACAAAGAGGTGACTGAGAATTCTTCTGTCTAGCATTATATGAAGAAATCCCGTTTCCAACGAAGGCCTCAAAGAAGTCCAAATATGCACTTGCAGACTTTACAAACAGAGTGTTTCCCAACTGCTCGATTAAAAGAAATGTTAAAATCTGTGAGTTGAACGCACACATCACAAAGTGGTTCTTGAGAATGATTCTGTGTAGTTTTTATACGAAGATATTTCCTTTTCTGCCATAGGCCTAGAAGCGCTTGAAATCTGGCCTTGCAAATTCAAAAAAAAGAGTGTTTCGAATCTGCTCTCTCTAAAGGAAGGTTCAAATCCGTGAGTTGAATACAAACAACACAAAGAAGTTACTGAGAATTCTTCTGTCTAGCCTTATGTGAGGAAATCTCGTTTCCAAAGACGGGCTCAAAGAGGGCCAATTAACCACTTGCAGACATTACAAAGACAGTGTTTCCAAACTGCTCGATTAAAAGAAAGGTTAAACTCTGTGAGTTGAACGCACACATTACAAAGTGTTTTCTGAGAATGATTTTCTCTCGTTCTAATACGAAGATATATCCTTTTCTACCATTGTCCTCGAAGCGTTTGAAATCTGCACTAGCAAATTCCATGGAAAGAATGTTTCAAATTTGCTCTCTGTAAAGAAAGGTTCAACCCTGTGAGTTGAATACACACAACACAAAGAAGTTACTGAGAATTCTTCTGTCTAGCGTTATATGAAGAAATCCCGTTTCCAACGAAGGCCTCAGAGAGGTCCAAATATCCACTTGCAGACTTTACAAATAGAGTGCTTCCAAACTGCTCTATTAAAAGAAAGGTTAAATTCTGTGAGTTGAAGGCACACATCAGAAACTAGTTTCTGCGAATGACTCTGTGTAGTTTTACTACGAAGATATTTCTATGACTAAGATTGGCGTCAAATCGCTTGAAATCTCCACTTGCAAATTCCACAGAAAGAGTGTTTCAAAACTGCTCTGGATAAAGGAAGGTTCAACTCTGTGTGTTGAATACACACAGCACAAAGATTTACTGAGAATTATTCTGTCCAGCAGTATATGAAAAAATTCCGCTTCCAACGAAGACCTCAAAGGGGTCCAAGTATTCAGTAGCAGACATTACAGAGAGAGTCTTTCCAAACTGATCTATGAAAAGAAAGGTGAAACTCTGTGAGCTGAACGCACACATCACAAAGTAGTTTCTGAGAATGATTCTGTCTAATTTTACACGAAGATATTTCCATTTCAAAGATTGGCCTCAAATCACATGAAATCTCCACTTGCGAATTCCACAGAAAGAGTTTTTCAAAACTACTCTGTCTAAAGGAAGGTTCAAATCTGTGAGATCAATACACACAACACAAAGAGGTGACTGAGAATTCTTCTGTCTGGCATTATATGAAGAAATCCCGTTTCCAACGAAGGCCTCAAAGAAGTCCAAATATGCATTTGCAGACTTTACAAACAGAGTGTTTCCAAACTGCTCGATTAAAAGAAAGGTTAAAATCTGTGAGTTGAACGCACACATCACAAATTAGTTCTTGAGAATGATTCTGTGTAGTTTTTATACGAAGATATTTCCTTTTGTGCCATAGGCCCAGAAGCGCTTGAAGTCTGCACTTGCAAATTCCAAAAAAAGAGTGTTTCAAATCTGATCTCTCTAAAGGAAGGTTCAAATCCGTGAGTTGAATACAAACAACACAAAGAAGTTACTGAGAATTCTTCTGTCTAGCCTTATGTGAGGAAATCTCGTTTCCAAAGAAGGGCTCAAAGAGGGCCAATTAACCACTTGCAGACATTACAAAGAGAGTGTTTCCAAACTGCTCGATTAAAAGAAAGGTTAAACTCTGTGAGTTGAACGCACACATTACAAAGTGTTTTCTGAGAATGATTTTCTCTCGTTCTAATACAAAGATATATCCTTTTCTACCATTGTCCTCGAAGCGTTTGAAATCTGCACTAGCAAATTCCACGGAAAGAATGTTTCACATCTGCTCTCTGTAAAGAAAGGTTCAACCCTGTGAGTTGAATACACACAACAGAAAGAAGTTACTGAGAATTCTTCTGTCTAGCGTTATATGAAGAAATCCCGTTTCCAACGAAGGCCTCAGAGAGGTCCAAATATCCACTTGCAGACTTTACAAATAAAGTGTTTCCAAACTGCTCTATTAAAAGAAAGGTTAAATTCTGTGAGTTACAAGGCACACATCAGAAACTAGTTTCTGCGAATGACTCTGTGTAGTTTTACTACGAAGATATTTCCATGTCTAAGATTGGCCTCAAATCGCTTGAATTCTCCACTTGCAAATTCCACACAAAGAGTGTTTCAAAACTGCTCAGGATAAAGGATGGTTCAACTCTGTGTGTTGAATACACACAGCAGAAAGATTTACTGAGAATTCTTCTGTCTAGCAGTATATAAAAAATTCCGCTTCTAACGAAGGCCTCAAAGGGGTCCAAGTATTCACTAGCAGACATTACAAACAGAGTCTTTCCAAACTGCTCTATGAAAAGAAAGGTGAAACTCTGTGAGCTGAAAGCACACATCACAAAGTAGTTTCTGACAATGATTCTGTCTAATTTTACACGAAGATATTTCCATTTCAAAGATTGCCCTCAAATCACTTGAAATCTCCACTTGCAAATTCCACAGAAAGAGTTTTTCAAAACTGCTCTGTCTAAAGGAAGGTTCAAATCTGTGAGATCAATACACACAACACAAAGAGGTGACTGAGAATTCTTCTGTCTGGCATTATATGAAGAAATCCCATTTCCAACGAAGGCCTCAAAGAAGTCCAAATATGCACTTGCAGACTTTACAACCAGAGTGTTTCCAAACTGCTCTATGAAAAGAAAGGTTAAACCCTGTGAGTTGAACGCACACATCACAAAGTAGTTTCTGAGAATGATTCTGTCTAGTTTTTACACGGAGATATTTCCATTTCAAAGATTGGCCTTAAATCGCATGTAATCTCCACTTGCAAATTCCACAGAAAGAGTTTTTCAAAACTGCTCTGTCTAAATGAAGGTTCAACTCTGTGACTTGAATACACACAACACAAAGAAGTGACTGAGAATTCTTCTGTCTAGCAGTATATGAAGAAATCCCGTTTCCAACGAAGGCCTCAAAGAAGTCCAAATATGCACTTGCAGACTTTACAAACAGAGTGTTTCCAAACTGCTCGATTAAAAGAAAGGTTAAAATCTGTGAGTTGAACGCACACATCACAAAGTAGTTCTTGAGAATGATTCTGTGTAGTTTTTATACGAAGATATATCCTTTTCTACCATTGTCCTCGAAGCGTTTGAAATCTGCACTAGCAAATTCCACAGAAAGAATGTTTCAAATCTGCTCTCTGTAAAGAAAGGTTCAACCCTGTGAGTTGAATACACACAACACAAAGAAGTTAGTGAGAATTCTTCTGTCTAGCATTATGTGAGGAAATCTCGTTTCCAAAGAAGGCCTCAATGAGGGCCAATTAACCACTTGCAGACATTACAAAGAGAGTGTTTCCAAACTGCTCGATTAAAAGAAAGGTTAAACTCTGTGAGTTGAACGCACACATTACAAAGTGTTTTCTGAGAATGATTTTCTCTCGTTCTAATACGAAGATATATCCTTTTCTACCATTGTCCTCGAAGCGTTTGAAATCTGCACTAGCAAATTCCACGGAAAGAATGTTTCAAATCTGCTCTCTGTAAAGAAAGGTTCAACCCTGTGAGTTGAATACACACAACACAAAGAAGTTACTGAGAATTCTTCTGTCTAGCGTTATATGAAGAAATCCCGTTTCCAACGAAGGACTCAGAGAGGTCCAAATATCCACTTGCAGACTTTACAAATGGAATGTTTCCAAACTGCTCTATTAAAAGAAAGGTTAAATTCTGTGAGTTGAAGGCACACATCTGAAACTAGTTTGCTGTGAATGACTCTGTGTAGTTTTACTACGAAGATATTTCCATGTCTAAGATTGGCCTCAAATCGCTTGAATTCTCCACTTGCAAATTCCACACAAAGAGTGTTTCAAAACTGCTCAGGATAAAGGATGGTTCAACTCTGTGTGTTGAATACACACAGCACAAAGATTTACTGAGAATTCTTCTGTCTAGCAGTATATGAAAAAATTCCGCTTCTAACGAAGGCCTCAAAGGGGTCCAAGTATTCACTAGCAGACATTACAAAGAGAGTCTTTACAAACTGCTCTATGAAAAGAAAGGTGAAACTCTGTGAGCTGAACGCACACATCACAAACTAGTTTCTGACAATGATTCTGTCTAATTTTACACGAAGATATTTCCATTTCAAAGATTGGCCTCAAATCACATGAAATCTCCACTTGCGAATTCCACAGAAAGAGTTTTTCAAAACTACTCTGTCTAAAGGAAGGTTCAAATCTGTGAGATCAATACACACAACACAAAGAGGTGACTGAGAATTCTTCTGTCTGGCATTATATGAAGAAATCCCATTTCCAACGAAGGCCTCAAAGAAGTCCAAATATGCACTTGCAGACTTTACAATCAGAGTGTTTCCAAACTGCTCTATGAAAAGAAAGGTTAAACCCTGTGAGTTGAACGCACACATCACAAAGTAGTTTCTGAGAATGATTCTGTCTAGTTTTTACACGGAGATATTTCCATTTCAAAGATTGGCCTTAAATCGCATGTAATCTCCACTTGCAAATTCCACAGAAAGAGTTTTTCAAAACTGCTCTGTCTAAATGAAGGTTCAACTCTGTGACTTGAATACACACAACACAAAGAAGTGACTGAGAATTCTTCTGTCTGGCATTATATGAAGAAATCCCATTTCCAACGAAGGCCTCAAAGAAGTCCTAATATGCACTTGCAGACTTTACAACCAGAGTGTTTCCAAACTGCTCTATGAAAAGAAAGGTTAAACCCTGTGAGTTGAACGCACACATCACAAAGTAGTTTCTGAGAATGATTCTGTGTAGTTTTTATACGAAGATATTTCCTTTTCTGCCATAGGCCTAGAAGCGCTTGAAATCTGCCCTTGCAAATTCCAAAAAAAGAGTGTTTCAAATTTGCTCTCTCTAAAGGAAGGTTCAAATCCGTGAGTTGAATACAAACAACACAAAGAAGTTACTGAGAATTCTTCTGTCTAGCATTATGTGAGGAAATCTCGTTTCCAAAGAAGGGCTCAAAGAGGGCCAATTAACCACTTGCAGACATTACAAAGAGAGTGTTTCCAAACTGCTCGATTAAAAGAAAGGTTAAACTCTGTGAGTTGAAAGCACACATTATAAAGTGTTTTCTGAGAATGATTTTCTCTCGTTCTAATACGAAGATATATCCTTTTCTACCATTGTCCTCGAAGCGTTTGAAATCTGCACTAGCAAATTCCACGGAAAGAATGTTTCAAATCTGCTCTCTGTAAAGAAAGGTTCAACCCTGTGAGTTGAATACACACAACACAAACAAGTTACTGAGAATTCTTCTGTCTAGCGTTATATGAAGAAATCCCGTTTCCAACGAAGGACTCAGAGAGGTCCAATTATCCACTTGCAGACTTTACAAATGGAGTGTTTACGAACTGCTCTATTAAAAGAAAGGTTAAATTCTGTGAGTTGAAGGCACACATCAGAAACTAGTTTCTGCGAATGACTCTGTGTAGTTTTACTACGAAGATATTTCCATCACTAAGATTGGCGTCAAATCGCTTGAAATCTCCACTTGTAAATTCCACAGAAAGAGTGTTTCAAAACTGCTCTGGATAAAGGAAGGTTCAACTGTGTGTGTTGAATACACACAGCACAAAGATTTACTGAGAATTATTGTGTCCAGCAGTATATGAAAAAATTCCGCTTCCAACGAAGACCTCAAAGGGGTCCAAGTATTCAGTAGCAGACATTACAGAGAGAGTCTTTCCAAACTGATCTATGAAAAGAAAGGTGGAACTCTGTGAGCTGAACGCACACATCACAAACTAGTTTCTGACAATGATTCTGTCTAATTTTACACGAAGATATTTCCATTTCAAAGATTGGCCTCAAATCACATGAAATCTCCACTTGCGAATTCCACAGAAAGAGTTTTTCAAACTACTCTGTCTAAAGGAAGGTTCAAATCTGTGAGATCAATACACACAACACAAAGAGGTGACTGAGAATTCTTCTGTTTGGCATTATATGAAGAAATCCCATTTCCAACGAAGGCCTCAAAGAAGTCCAAATATGCACTTGCAGACTTTACAACCAGAGTGTTTCCAAACTGCTCTATGAAAAGAAAGGTTAAACCCTGTGAGTTGAACGCACACATCACAAAGTAGTTTCTGACAATGATTCTGTCTAATTTTACACGAAGATATTTCCATTTCAAAGATTGGCCTCAAATCACATGAAATCTCCACTTGCAAATTCCACAGAAAGAGTTTTTCAAAACTGCTCTGTCTAAAGGAAGGTTCAAATCTGTGAGATCAATACACACAACACAAAGAGGTGACTGAGAATTCTTCTGTCTAGCATTATATGAAGATATCCCGTTTCCAATGAAGGCCTCAAAGAAGTCCAAATATGCAATTGCAGACTTTACAAACAGAGTGTTTCCAAACTGCTCGATTAAAAGAAAGGTTAAAATCTGTGGGTTGAACGCACACATCACAAAGTCGTTCTTGAGAATGATTATGTGTAGTTTTTATACGAAGATATTTCCTTTTCTGCCATAGGTCCAGAAGCGCTTGAAGTCTGCACTTGCAAATTACAAAAAAAGAGTGTTTCAAATCTGCTCTCTCTAAAGGAAGGTTCAAATCCGTGAGTTGAATACAAACAACACAAAGAAGTTACTGAGAATTCTTCTGTCTAGCCTTATGTGAGGAAATCTCGTTTCCAAAGAAGGGCTCAAAGAGGGCCAATTAACCACTTGCAGACATTACAAAGAGAGTGTTTCCAAACTGCTCGATTAAAAGAAAGGTTAAACTCTGTGAGTTGAACGCACACATTACAAAGTGTTTTCTGAGAATGATTTTCTCTCGTTCTAATACGAAGATATACCCTTTTCTACCATTGTCCTCGAAGCGTTTGAAATCTGCACTAGCAAATTCCACGGAAAGAATGTTTCAAATCTGCTCTCTGTAAAGAAAGGTTCAACCCTGTGAGTTGAATACACACAACAAAAAGAAGTTAGTGAGAATTCTTCTGTCTAGCGTTATATGAAGAAATCCCGTTTCCAACGAAGGCCTCAGAGAGGTCCAAATATCCACTTGCAGACTTTACAAATGGAGTGTTTCCAAACTGCTCTATTAAAAGAAAGGTTAAATTCTGTGAGTTGAAGGCTCACATCAGAAACTAGTTTCTGCAAATGACTCTGTGTAGTTTTACTACGAAGATATTTCCATGACTAAGATTGGCGTCAAATCGCTTGAAATTTCCACTTGCAAATTCCACAGAAAGAGTGTTTCAAAACTGCTCTGGATAAAGGAACGTTCAACTCTGTGTGTTGAATACACACAGCACAAAGTTTCACTGAGAATTTTTCTGTCTAGCAGTATATGAAAAAATTCCGCTTCTAACGAAGGCCTCAAAGGGGTCCAAGTATTCACTAGCAGACATTACAAACAGAGTCTTTCCAAACTGCTCTATGAAAAGAAAGGTGAAACTCTGTGAGCTGAACGCACACATCACAAACTAGTTTCTGACAATGATTCTGTCTAATTTTACACGAAGATATTTCCATTTCAAAGATTGGCCTCAAATCACATGAAATCTCCACTTGCAAATTCCACAGAAAGAGTTTTTCAAAACTACTCTGTCTAAAGGAAGGTTCAAATCTGTGAGATCAATACACACAACACAAAGAGGTGACTGAGAATTCTTCTGTCTGGCATTATATGAAGAAATCCCATTTCCAACGAAGGCCTCAAAGAAGTCCAAATATGCACTTGCAGACTTTACAACCAGAGTGTTTCCAAACTGCTCTATGAAAAGAAAGGTTAAACCCTGTGAGTTGAACGCACACATCACAAAGTAGTTTCTGAGAATGATTCTGTCTAGTTTTTACGCGGAGATATTTCCATTTCAAAGATTGGCCTTAAATCGCATGTAATCTCCACTTGCAAATTCCACAGAAAGAGTTTTTCAAAACTGCTCTGTCTAAATGAAGGTTCAACTCTGTGACTTGAATACACACAACACAAAGAAGTGACTGAGAATTCTTCTGTCTAGCATTATGTGAGGAAATCTCGTTTCCAAAGAAGGCCTCAAAGAGGGCCAATTAACCACTTGCAGACATTACAAAGAGAGTGTTTCCAAACTGCTCGATTAAAAGAAAGGTTAAACTCTGTGAGTTGAACGCACACATTACAAAGTGTTTTCTGAGAATGATTTTCTCTCGTTCTAATACGAAGATATATCCTTTTCTACCATTGTCCTCGAAGCGTTTGAAATCTACACTAGCAAATTCCACGGATAGAATGTTTCAAATCTGCTCTCTGTAAAGAAAGGTTCAACCCTGTGAGTTGAATACACACAACACAAAGAAGTTACTGAGAATTCTTCTGTCTAGCATTATATGAAGAAATCCCGTTTCCAACGAAGGCCTCAGAGAGGTCCAAATATCCACTTGCAGACTTTACAAATAGGGTGTTTCCAAACTGCTCTATTAAAAGAAAGGTTAAACTCTGTGAGTTGAAGGCACACATCAGAAACTAGTTTCTGCGAATGACTCTGTGTAGTTTTACTACGAAGATATTTCCATGACTAAGATTGGCGTCAAATCGCTTGAAATCTCCACTTGCAAATTCCACAGAAAGAGTGTTTCAAAACTGCTCTGGATAAAGGAAGGTTCAACTCTGTGTGTTGAATACACACAGCACAAAGATTTACTGAGAATTATTCTGTCTAGCAGTATATGAAAAATTTCCGCTTCCAACGAAGGACTCAAAGGGGTCCAGGTATTAACTAGCAGACATTACAAACAGAGTCTTTCCAAACTGCTCTATGAAAAGAAAGGTGAAACTCTGTGAGCTGAACGCACACATCACAAAGTAGTTTCTGACAATGATTCTGTCTAGTTTTTACACGGAGATATTTCCATTTCAAAGATTGGCCTTAAATCGCATGTAATCTCCACTTGCAAATTCCACAGAAAGAGTTTTTCAAAACTGCTCTGTCTAAATGAAGGTTCAACTCTGTGACTTGACTACACACAACACAAAGAAGTGACTGAGAATTCTTCTGTCTAGCAGTATATGAAGAAATCCCGTTTCCAACGAAGGCCTCAAAAAAGTCCAAATATGCACTTGCAGACTTTACAAACAGAGTGTTTCCAAACTGCTCGATTAAAAGAAAGGTTAAAATCTGTGAGTTGAACGCACACATCACAAAGTAGTTCTTGAGAATGATTCTGTGTAGTTTTTATACGAAGATATTTCCTTTTCTGCCATAGGCCCAGAAGCGCTTGAAGTCTGCACTTGCAAATTCCAAAAAAAGAGTGTTTCAAATCTGCTCTCTCTAAAGGAAGGTTCAAATCCGTGAGTTGAATACAAACAACACAAAGAAGTTACTGAGAATTCTTCTGTCTAGCATTATATGAGGAAATCTCGTTTCCAAAGAAGGGCTCAAAGAGGGCCAATTAACCACTTGCAGACATTACAAAGACAGTGTTTCCAAACTGCTCGATTAAAAGAAAGGTTAAACTCTGTGAGTTGAACGCACACATTACAAAGTGTTTTCTGAGAATGATTTTCTCTCGTTCTAATACGAAGATATATCCTTTTCTACCATTGTCCTCGAAGCGTTTGGAATCTGCACTAGCAAATTCCACGGAAAGAATGTTTCAAATCTGCTCTCTGTAAAGAAAGGTTCAACCCTGTGAGTTGAATACACACAACACAAAGAAGTTACTGAGAATTCTTCTGTCTAGCGTTATATGAAGAAATCCCGTTTCCAACGAAGGCCTCAGAGAGGTCCAAATAACCACTTGCAGACTTTCCAAATGTAGTGTTTCCAAACTGCTCTATTAAAAGAAAGGTTAAATTCTGTGAGTTGAAGGCACACATCAGAAACTAGTTTCTGCGAATGACTCTGTGTAGTTTTACTACGAAGATATTTCCATGTCTAAGATTGGCCTCAAATCGCTTGAATTCTCCACTTGCAAATTCCACACAAAGAGTGTTTCAAAACTGCTCAGGATAAAGGATGGTTCAACTCTGTGTGTTGAATACACACAGCACAAATATTTACTGAGAATTCTTCTGTCTAGCAGTATATGAAAAAATTCCGCTTCTAACGAAGGCCTCAAAGGGGTCCAGGTATTCACTAGCAGACATTACAAACAGAGTCTTTCCAAACTGCTCTATGAAAAGAAAGGTGAAACTCTGTGAGCTGAAAGCACACATCACAAAGTAGTTTCTGACAATGATTCTGTCTAATTTTACACGAAGATATTTCCATTTCAAAGATTGGCGACAAATCACATGAAATCTCCACTTGCAAATTCCACAGAAAGAGTTTTTCAAAACTACTCTGTCTAAAGGAAGGTTCAAATCTGTGAGATCAATACACACAACACAAAGAGGTGACTGAGAATTATTCTGTCTGGCGTTATATGAAGAAATCCCATTTCCAACGAAGGCCTCAAAGAAGTCCAAATATGCACTTGCAGACTTTACAACCAGAGTGTTTCCAAACTGCTCTATGAAAAGAAAGGTTAAACCCTGTGAGTTGAACGCACACATCACAAAGTAGTTTCTGAGAATGATTCTGTGTAGTTTTTATACGAAGATATTTCCTTTTCTGCCATAGGCCCAGAAGCGCTTGAAGTCTGCACTTGCAAATTCCAAAAAAAGAGTGTTTCAAATCTGCTCTCTCTAAAGGAAGGTTCAAATCCGTGAGTTGAATACAAACAACACAAAGAAGTTACTGAGAATTCTTCTGTCTAGCATTATATGAGGAAATCTCGTTTCCAAAGAAGGGCTCAAAGAGGGCCAATTAACCACTTGTAGACATTACAAAGAGAGTGTTTCCAAACTGCTCGATTAAAAGAAAGGTTAAACTCTGTGAGTTGAACGCTCACATTACAAAGTGTTTTCTGAGAATGATTTTCTCTCGTTCTAATACGAAGATATATCATTTTCTACCATTGTCCTCGAAGCGTTTGAAATCTGCACTAGCAAATTCCACGGAAAGAATGTTTCAAATCTGCTCTCTGTAAAGAAAGGTTCAACCCTGTGAGTTGAATACACACAACAGAAAGAAGTTACTGAGAATTCTTCTGTCTAGCGTTATATGAAGAAATCCCGTTTCCAACGAAGGACTCAGAGAGGTCCAATTATCCACTTGCAGACTTTACAAATGGAGTGTTTACAAACTGCTCTATTAAAAGAAAGGTTAAATTCTGTGAGTTGAAGGCACACATCAGAATGTAGTTTCTGCGAAAGACTCTGTGTAGTTTTACTACGAAGGTATTTCCATGACTAAGATTGGCGTCAAATCGCTTGAAATCTCCACTTGCAAATTCCACAGAAAGAGTGTTTCAAAACTGCTCTGGATAAAGGAAGGTTCAACTCTGTGTGTTGAATACACACAGCACAAAGATTTACTGAGAATTCTTCTGTCTAGCAGTATATGAAAAAATTCCGCTTCTAACGAAGGCCTCAAAGGGGTCCAAGTATTCACTAGCAGACATTACAAACAGAGTCTTTCCAAACTGCTCTATGAAAAGAAAGGTGAAACTCTGTGAGCTGAACGCACACATCACAAAGTAGTTTCTGACAATGATTCTGTCTAATTTTACACGAAGATATTTCCATTTCAAAGATTGCCCTCAAATCACTTGAAATCTCCACTTGCAAATTCCACAGAAAGAGTTTTTCAAAACTGCTCTGTCTAAAGGAAGGTTCAAATCTGTGAGATCAATACACACAACACAAAGAGGTGACTGAGAATTCTTCTGTCTAGCATTATATGAAGAAATCCCGTTTCCAATGAAGGCCTCAAAGAAGTTCAAATATGCACATGCAGACTTTACAAACAGAGTGTTTCCAAACTGCTCGATTAAAAGAAAGGTTAAAATCCGTGAGTTGAACGCACACATCACAAAGTGGCTCTTGAGAATGATTCTGTGTAGTTTTTATACGAAGATATTTCCTTTTCTGCCATAGGCCCAGAAGCGCTTGAAGTCTGCACTTGCAAATTCCAAAAAAAGAGTGTTTCAAATCTGCTCTCTCTAAAGGAAGGTTCAAATCCGTGAGTTGAATACAAACAACACAAAGAAGTTACTGAGAATTCTTCTGTCTAGCATTATATGAGGAAATCTCGTTTCCAAAGACGGGCTCAAAGAGGGCCAATTAACGACTTGCAGACATTAAAAAGACAGTGTTTCCAAACTGCTCGATTAAAAGAAAGGTTAAACTCTGTGAGTTGAACGCACACATTACAAAGTGTTTTCTGAGAATGATTTTCTCTCGTTCTAATACGAAGATATATCCCTTTCTACCATTGTCCTCGAAGCATTTGAAATCTGCACTAGCAAATTCCACGGAAAGAATGTTTCAAATCTGCTCTCTGTAAAGAAAGGTTCAACCCTGTGAGTTGAATACACACAACACAAAGAAGTTACTGAGAATTCTTCTGTCTAGCGTTATATGAAGAAATCCCGTTTCCAACGAAGGCCTCAGAGAGGTCCAAATAACCACTTGCAGACTTTACAAATGGAGTGTTTCCAAACTGCTCTATTAAAAGAAAGATTAAACTCTGTGAGTTGTAGGCACACATCAGAAACTAGTTTCTGCGAATGACTCTGTGTAGTTTTACTACGAAGATATTTCCATGTCTAAGATTGGCCTCAAATCGCTTGAATTCTCCACTTGCAAATTCCACACAAAGAGTGTTTCAAAACTGCTCAGGATAAAGGATGGTTCAACTCTGTGTGTTGAATACACACAGCACAAATATTTACTGAGAATTCTTCTGTCTAGCAGTATATGAAAAAATTCCGCTTCTAACGAAGGCCTCAAAGGGGTCCAGGTATTCACTAGCAGACATTACAAACAGAGTCTTTCCAAACTGCTCTATGAAAAGAAAGGTGAAACTCTGTGAGCTGAAAGCACACATCACAAAGTAGTTTCTGACAATGATTCTGTCTAATTTTACACGAAGATATTTCCATTTCAAGGATTGGCCTCAAATCACTTGAAATCTCCACTTGCAAATTCCACAGAAAGAGTTTTTCAAAACTGCCCTGTCTAAAGGAAGGTTCAAATCTGTGAGATCGATACACACAACACAAAGAGGTGACTGAGAATTCTTCTGTCTAGCATTATATGAAGGAATCCCGTTTCCAATGAAGGCCTCAAAGAAGTCCAAATATGCACTTGCAGACTTTACAAACAGAGTGTTTCCAAACTGCTCGATTAAAAGAAAGGTTAAAATCTGTGAGTTGAACGCACACATCACAAAGTCGTTCTTGAGAATGATTCTGTGTAGTTTTTATACGAAGATATTTCCTTTTCTGCCATAGGCCCAGAAGCGCTTGAAGTCTGCACTTGCAAATTCCAAAAAAAGTGTGTATCAAATCTGCTCTCTCTAAAGGAAGGTTCAAATCCGTGAGTTGAATACAAACAACACAAAGAAGTTACTGAGAATTCTTCTGTCAAGCCTTATGTGAGGAAATCTCGTTTCCAAAGAAGGGCTCAAAGAGGGCCAATTAACAACTTGCAGACATTACAAAGAGAGTGTTTGCAAACTGCTCGATTAAAAGAAAGGTTAAACTCTGTGAGTTGAACGCACACATTACAAAGTGTTTTCTGAGAATGATTTTCTCTCGTTCTAATACGAAGATATATCCTTTTCTACCATTGTCCTCAAAGCGTTTGAAATCTGTACTAGCAAATTCCACGGAAAGAATGTTTCAAATCTGCTCTCTGTAAAGAAAGGTTCAACCCTGTGAGTTGAATACACACAACACAAAGAAGTTAGTGAGAATTCTTCTGTCTAGCATTATATGAAGAAATCCCGTTTCCAACGAAGGCCTCAGAGAGGTCCAAATATCCACCTGCAGACTTTACAAATAGAGTGTTTCCAAACTGCTCTATTAAAAGAAAGGTTAAACTCTGTGAGTTGAAGGCACACATCAGAAACTAGTTTCTGCGAATGACTCTGTGTAGTTTTACTACGAAGATATTTCCATGTCTAAGATTGGCCTCAAATCGCTTGAATTCTCCACTTGCAAATTCCACAGAAAGAGTGTTTCAAAACTGCTCAGGATAAAGGATGGTTCAACTCTGTGTGTTGAATACACACAGCAAAAAGATTTACTGAGAATTCTTCTGTCTAGCAGTATATGAAAAAATTCCGCTTCCAACGAAGGCCTCAAAGGGGTCCAAGTATTCACTAGCAGACATTACAAACAGAGTCTTTCCAAACTGCTCTATGAAAAGAAAGGTGAAACTCTGTGAGCTGAACGCACACATCACAAAGTAGTTTCTGACAATGATTCTGTCTAATTTTACACGAAGATATTTCCATTTCAAAGATTGGCCTCAAATCACATGAAATCTCCATTTGCAAATTCCACAGAAATAGTTTTTCAAAACTACTCTGTCTAAAGGAAGGTTCAAATCTGTGAGATCAATACACACAACACAAAGAGGTGACTGAGAATTCTTCTGTCTAGCATTATATGAAGAAATCCCGTTTCCAATGAAGGCCTCAAAGAAGTCCAAATATGCACTTGCAGACTTTACAAACAGAGTGTTTCCAAACTGCTCGATTAAAAGAAAGGTTAAAATCTGTGAGTTGAACGCACACATCACAAAGTCGTTCTTGAGAATGATTCTGTGTAGTTTTTATACGAAGATATTTCCTTTTCTGCCATAGGCCTAGAAGCGCTTGAAATCTGCCCTTGCAAATTCCAAAAAAAGAGTGTTTCAAATCTGCTCTCTCTAAAGGAAGGTTCAAATCCGTGAGTTGAATACAAACAACACAAAGAAGTTACTGAGAATTCTTCTGTCTAGCATTATATGAGGAAATCTCGTTTCCAAAGACGGGCTCAAAGAGGGCCAATTAACGACTTGCTGACATTACAAAGACAGTGTTTCCAAACTGCTCGATTAAAAGAAAGGTTAAACTCTGTGAGTTGAACGCACACATTACAAAGTGTTTTCTGAGAATGATTTTCTCTCGTTCTAATACGAAGATATATCCTTTTCTACAATTGTCCTCGAAGCGTTTGAAATCTGCACTAGCAAATTCCACGGAAAGAATGTTTCAAATCTGCTCTCTGTAAAGAAAGGTTCCACCCTGTGAGTTGAATACACACAACACAAAGAAGTTACTGAGAATTCTTCTGTCTAGCATTATATGAAGAAATCCCGTTTCCAACGAAGGCCTCAGAGAGGTCCAAATATCCACTTGCAGACTTTACAAATAGAGTGTTTCCAAACTGCTCTATTAAAAGAAAGGTTAAACTCTGTGTGTTGAAGGCACACATCAGAAACTAGTTTCTGCGAATGACTCTGTGTAGTTTTACTACGAAGATATTTCCATGTCTAAGATTGGCCTCAAATCGCTTGAATTCTCCACTTGCAAATTCCACACAAAGAGTGTTTCAAAACTGCTCAGGATAAAGGATGGTTCAACTCTGTGTGTTGAATACACACAGCAAAAAGATTTACTGAGAATTCTTCTGTCCAGCAGTATATGAAAAAATTCCGCTTCCAACGAAGACCTCAAAGGGGTCCAAGTATTCAGTAGCAGACATTACACAGAGAGTCTTTCCAAACTGATCTATGAAAAGAAAGGTGAAACTCTGTGAGCTGAACGCACACATCACAAAGTAGTTTCTGAGAATGATTCTGTCTAATTTTACACGAAGATATTTCCATTTCAAAGATTGACCTCAAATCACATGAAATCTCCACTTGCAAATTCCACAGAAATAGTTTTTCAAAACTACTCTGTCTAAAGGAAGGTTCAAATCTGTGAGATCAATACACACAACACAAAGAGGTGACTGAGAATTCTTCTGTCTAGCATTATATGAAGAAATCCCGTTTCCAATGAAGGCCTCAAAGAAGTCCAAATACGCACTTGCAGACTTTACAAACAGAGTGTTTCCAAACTGCTCGATTAAAAGAAAGGTTAAAATCTGTGAGTTGAACGCACACATCACAAAGTGGTTCTTGAGAATGATTCTGTGTAGTTTTTATACGAAGATATTTCCTTTTGTGCCATAGGCCCAGAAGCGCTTGAAGTCTGCACTTGCAAATTCCAAAAAAAGAGTGTTTCAAATCTGATCTCTCTAAAGGAAGGTTCAAATCCGTGAGTTGAATACAAACAACACAAAGAAGTTACTGAGAATTCTTCTGTCTAGCCTTATGTGAGGAAATCTCGTTTCCAAAGACGGGCTCAAAGAGGGCCAATTAACCACTTGCAGACATTACAAAGACAGTGTTTCCAAACTGCTCGATTAAAAGAAAGGTTAAACTCTGTGAGTTGAACGCACACATTACAAAGTGTTTTCTGAGAATGATTTTCTCTCGTTCTAATACGAAGATATATCCCTTTCCACCATTGTCCTCAAAGCGTTTGAAATCTGCACTAGCAAATTCCACGGAAAGAATGTTTCAAATCTGCTCTCTGTAAAGAAAGGTTCAACCCTGTGAGTTGAATACACACAACACAAAGAAGTTACTGAGAATTCTTCTGTCTAGCGTTATATGAAGAAATCCCGTTTCCAACGAAGGCCTCAGAGAGATCCAAATGTCCACTTGCAGACTTTACAAATAGAGTGTTTCCAAACCGCTCTATTACAAGAAAGGTTAAATTCTGTGAGTTGAAGGCACACATCAGAAACTAGTTTCTGCGAATGACTCTGTGTAGTTTTACTACGAAGATATTTCCATGTCTAAGATTGGCCTCAAATCGCTTGAATTCTCCACTTGCAACTTCCACACAATGAGTGTTTCAAAACTGCTCAGGATAAAGGATGGTTCAACTCTGTGTGTTGAATACACACAGCACAAAGATTTACTGAGAATTCTTCTGTCTAGCAGTATATGAAAAAATTCCGCTTCCAACGAAGGCCTCAAAGGGGTCCAAGTATTCACTAGCAGACATTACAGACAGAGTCTTTCCAAACTGCTCTATGAAAAGAAAGGTGAAACTCTGTGAGCTGAACGCACACATCACAAAGTAGTTTCTGACAATGATTCTGTCTAATTTTACACGAAGATATTTCCATTTCAAAGATTGGCCTCAAATCACATGAAATCTCCACTTCCGATTTCCACAGAAAGAGTTTTTCAAAACTACTCTCTCTAAAGGAAGGTTCAAATCTGTGAGATGAATACACACAACACAAAGAGGTGACTGAGAATTCTTCTGTTTGGCATTATATGAAGAAATCCCATTTCCAACGAAGGCCTCAAAGAAGTCCAAATATGCACTTGCAGACTTTACAACCAGAGTGTTTCCAAACTGCTCTATGAAAAGAAAGGTTAAACCCTGTGAGTTGAACGCACACATCACAAAGTAGTTTCTGAGAATGATTCTGTCTAATTTTACACGAAGATATTTCCATTTCAAAGATTGGCCTCAAATCACTTGAAATCTCCACTTCCAAATTCCACAGAAAGAGTTTTTCAAAACTGCTCTGTCTAAAGGAAGGTTCAAATCTGTGAGATCAATACACACAACACAAAGAGGTGACTGAGAATTCTTCTGTCTAGCATTATATGAAGAAATCCCGTTTCCAATGAAGGCCTCAAAGAAGTCCAAATACGCACTTGCAGACTTTACAAACAGAGTGTTTCCAAACTGCTCGATTAAAAGAAAGGTTAAAATCTGTGAGTTGAACGCACACATCACAAAGTGGTTCTTGAGAATGATTCTGTGTAGTTTTTATACGAAGATATTTCCTTTTGTGCCATAGGCCCAGAAGCGCTTGAAGTCTGCACTTGCAAATTCCAAAAAAAGAGTGTTTCAAATCTGATCTCTCTAAAGGAAGGTTCAAATCCGTGAGTTGAATACAAACAACACAAAGAAGTTACTGAGAATTCTTCTGTCTAGCCTTATGTGAGGAAATCTCGTTTCCAAAGACGGGCTCAAAGAGGGCCAATTAACCACTTGCAGACATTACAAAGACAGTGTTTCCAAACTGCTCGATTAAAAGAAAGGTTAAACTCTGTGAGTTGAACGCACACATTACAAAGTGTTTTCTGAGAATGATTTTCTCTCGTTCTAATACGAAGATATATCCTTTTCTACCATTGTCCTCGAAGCGTTTGAAATCTGCACTAGCAAATTCCATGGAAAGAATGTTTCAAATTTGCTCTCTGTAAAGAAAGGTTCAACCCTGTGAGTTGAATACACACAACACAAAGAAGTTACTGAGAATTCTTCTGTCTAGCGATATATGAAGAAATCCCGTTTCCAACGAAGGCCTCAGAGAGATCCAAATGTCCACTTGCAGACTTTACAAATAGAGTGTTTCCAAACCGCTCTATTACAAGAAAGGTTAAATTCTGTGAGTTGAAGGCACACATCAGAAACTAGTTTCTGCGAATGACTCTGTGTAGTTTTACTACGAAGATATTTCCATGACTAAGATTGGCGTCAAATCGCTTGAAATCTCCACTTGCAAATTCCACAGAAAGAGTGTTTCAAAACTGCTCTGGATAAAGGAACGTTCAACTCTGTGTGTTGAATACACACAGCACAAAGTTTCACTGAGAATTTTTCTGTCTATCAGTATATGAAAGAATTCTGCTTCCAACGAAGGCCTCAAAGGGGTCCAAATATTCACTAGCAGACATTACAGACAGAGTCTTTCCAAACTGCTCTATGAAAAGAAAGGTGAAACTCTGTGAGCTGAACGTACACATCACAAAGTAGTTTCTGACAATGATTCTGTCTAATTTTACACGAAGATATTTCCATTTCAAAGATTGGCCTCAAATCACTTGAAATCTCCACTTGCTAATTCCACAGAAAGAGATTTTCAAAACTGCTCTGTCTAAAGGAAGGCTCAAATCTGTGAGATCAATACACACAACACAAAGAGGTGACTGAGAATTCTTCTGTCTAGCAGCATATGAAAAACTCCCGTTCCCAACGAAGGCCTCAAAGAAGTCCAAATATACACTTGCAGACTTTACAAACAGAGTGTTTCCAAACTGTTCGATTAAAAGAAAGGTTAAAATCTGTGAGTTGAATGCGCACATCACAAAGTAGTTCTTGAGAATGATTCTGTGTAGTTTTTATACGAAGATATTTCCTTTTCTGCCATAGGCCCAGAAGCGCTTGAAGTCTGCACTTGCAAATTCCAAAAAAAGAGTGTTTCAAATCTGCTCTCTCTAAAGGAAGGTTCAAATCCGTGAGTTGAATACAAACAACACAAAGAAGTTACTGAGAATTCTTCTGTCTAGCATTATATGAGGAAATCTCGTTTCCAAAGAAGGGCTCAAAGAGGGCCAATTAACCACTTACATACATTACAAAGACAGTGTTTCCAAACTGCTCAGTTAAAAGAAAGGTTAAACTCTGTGAGTTGAACGCACACATTACAAAGTGTTTTCTGAGAATGATTTTCTCTCGTTCTAATACGAAGATATATCCTTTTCTACCATTGTCCTCGAAGCGTTTGAAATCTGCACTAGCAAATTCCACGGAAAGAATGTTTCAAATCTGCTCTCTGTAAAGAAAGGTTCAACCCTGTGAGTTGAATACACACAACACAAAGAAGTTAGTGAGAATTCTTCTGTCTAGCGTTATATGAAGAAATCCCGTTTCCAACGAAGGCCTCAGAGAGGTCCAAATATCCACTTGCAGACTTTACAAATGGAGTCTTTCCAAACTGCTCTATTAAAAGAAAGGTTAAATTCTGTGAGTTGAAGGCTCACATCAGAAACTAGTTTCTGCAAATGACTCTGTGTAGTTTTACTACGAAAGGTATTTCCATGACTAAGATTGGCCTCAAATCGCTTGAGTTCTCCACTTGCAAATTCCACACAAAGAGTGTTTCAAAACTGCTCAGGATAAAGGATGGTTCAACTCTGTGTGTTGAATACACACAGCACAAAGATTTACTGAGAATTCTTCTGTCCAGCAGTATATGAAAAAATTCCGCTTCCAACGAAGACCTCAAAGGGGTCCAAGTATTCAGTAGCAGACATTACAGAGAGAGTCTTTCCAAACTGATCTATGAAAAGAAAGGTGAAACTCGGTGAGCTGAACGCACACATCACAAAGTAGTTTCTGAGAATGATTCTGTCTAATTTTACACGAAGATATTTCCATTTCAAAGAATGGCGTCAAATCTCTTGAAATCTCCACTTGCAAATTCCACAGAAAGAGTTTTTCAAAACTGCTCTGTCTAAAGGAAGGTTCAAATCTGTGAGATCAATACACACAACACAAAGAGGTGACTGAGAATTCTTCTGTCTAGCATTATATGAAGAAATCCCGTTTCCAACGAAGGCCTCAAAGAAGTCCAAATATGCACTTGCAGACTTTACAAACAGAGTGATTCCAAACCGCTGGATTAAAAGAAAGGTTAAAATCTGTGAGTTGAACGCACACATCACAAAGTGGTTCTTGAGAATGATTCTGTGTAGTTTTTATACGAAGATATTTCCTTTTCTGCCATAGGCCCAGAAGCGCTTGAAGTCTGCACTTGCAAATTCCAAAAAAAGAGTGTTTCAAATCTGCTCTCTCTAAAGGAAGGTTCAAATCCGTGAGTTGAATACAATCAACACAAAGAAGTTAATGAGAATTCTTCTGTCTAGCATTATATGAGGAAATCTCGTTTCCAAAGAAGGGCTCAAAGAGGGCCAATTAACCACTTGCAGACATTACAAAGACAGTGTTTCCAAACTGCTCGATTAAAATAAAGGTTAAACTCTGTGAGTTGAACGCACACATTACAAAGTGTTTTCTGAGAATGATTTTCTCTCGTTCTAATACGAAGATATACCCTTTTCTACCATTGTCCTCGAAGCGTTTGAAATCTGCACTAGCAAATTCCACGGAAAGAATGTTTCAAATCTGCTCTCTGTAAAGAAAGGTTCAACCCTGTGAGTTGAATACACACAACAAAAAGAAGTTAGTGAGAATTCTTCTGTCTAGCAGTATATGAAAAAATTCCGCTTCTAACGAAGGCCTCAAAGGGGTCCAAGTATTCACTAGCAGACATTACAAACAGAGTCTTTACAAACTGCTCTATGAAAAGAAAGGTGAAACTCTGTGAGCTGAACGCACACATCACAAACTAGTTTCTGACAATGATTCTGTATAATTTTACACGAAGATATTTCCATTTCAAAGATTGGCCTCAAATCACTTGAAATCTCCACTTGCAAATTCCACAGAAAGAGTGTTTCAAAACTGCTCTGGATAAAGGAAGGTTCAACTCTGTGTGTTGAATACACACAGAACAAAGATTTACTGAGAATTATTCTGTCCAGCAGTATATGAAAAAATTCCGCTTCCAACGAAGACCTCAAAGGGGTCCAAGTATTCAGCAGCAGACATTACAGAGAGAGTCTTTCCAAACTGACCTATGAAAAGAAAGGTGAAACTCTGTGAGCTGAACGCACACATCACAAAGTAGTTTCTGAGAATGATTCTGTCAAATTTTACACGAAGATATTTCCATTTCAAAGATTGGCCTCAAATCACTTGAAATCCCCACTTGCAAATTCCACAGAAAGAGTTTTCCAAAACCGCTCTGTCTAAAGGAAGGTTCAAATCTGTGAGATCAATACACACAACACAAAGAGGTGACTGAGAATTCTTCTGTTTGGCATTATATGAAGAAATCCCATTTCCAACGAAGGCCTCAAAGAAGTCCAAATATGCACTTGCAGACTTTACAACCAGAGTGTTTCCAAACTGCTCTATGAAAAGAAAGGTTAAACCCTGTGAGTTGAACGCACACATCACAAAGTAGTTTCTGACAATGAT
>NC_000010.11:41497540-41545720 GCF_000001405.40 Homo sapiens | reverse complement strand
TCTGTCTAGCGTTATATGAAGAAATCCCGTTTCCAACGAAGGCCTCAAAGAAGTCCAAATAAGCACTTACAGACTTTACAGACAGAGTCTTTCCAAAGTGCTCTATGAAAAGAAAGGTTAAACTCTGTGAGTTAAACGCTCACATCACAAAGTAGTTGTTGAGAATGATTCTGTGTAGTTTTTATACGAAGATATTTCCTTTTCTGCCATAGGCCTAGGAGCGCTTGAAATCTGTACTTGCAAATACCAAAAAAAGAGTTTTTCAAATCTGCTCTCTCCAAAGGAAGGTTCAAATCTCTGAGTTGAATACAAACAACACGAAGAAGTTACTGAGAATTCTTCCGTCTAGCATTGTATGAGGAAATCCCGTTTCCAGCGAAGGGCTCAAAGACGGCCAATTATCCACTTGCAGACTTTACAAAAAGAGTGTTTCCTAACTGCTCGATTAAAGGAATGTTAAACTCTGTGAGTTGAACACACACATCACAAAGTGTATTCTGAGAATGATTTTGTCTAATTTTAATATGAAGATATAACCTTTTCTGCCATTGTCCTCGAAGCGTTTGATATCTGCACTAGCAAATTCCACAGAAAGAGTGTTTCAAATCTGCTCTCTCTAAAGAAAGTTTCAACTCTGTGAGTTGAATGCACACAACACAAAGAAGTTAATGAGAATTCTTCTGTCTAGCATTATATGAAGAAATCCCGTTTCCAACGAAGGCCTCAGAGAGGTCCAAATATCCACTTGCAGACTTTACAAATAGAGTGTTTCCAAACTGCTCTATTAAAAGAAAGGTTAAACTCTGTGTGTTGAAGGCACACATCAGAAACTAGTTTCTGCGAATGACTCTGTGTAGTTTTTACACGAAGAGATTTCCATTTCAAAGATTGGCCTCAAATCGCTTGAAATCTCCACTTGCAAATTCCACAGAAAGAGTTTTTCAAAACTGCTCTGTCTAAAGGAAGGTTCAACTCTGTGACTTGAATACACACAACAGAAAGAAGTTACTGAGAATTCTTCTGTCTAGCAGTAAGTGAAAAAATCCCACTTCCAACGAAGGCCTCAGAGGCGTCCAAGTATTCACTTGCAGACTTTACAGACAGAGTCTTTCCAAACTGCTGTATGAAAAGAAAGGTGAAACTCTGTGAGTTGAACGCACACATAACAAAGCAGTTTCTGTGAATGATTCTGTGTAGTTTTTACACGAAGATATTTCCATTTCAAAGATTGGCCTCAAATTGCTTGAAATCTCCACTTGCAAATTCCACAGAAAGAGTTTTTCAAAACTACTCAGTCTAAAGGAAGTTTCAACTCTGTGACTTGAATACCACAACACAAAGAAGTGACTGTGAATTCTTCTGTCTAGCATTATATGAAGAAATCCCGTTTCCAACTAAGGCCTCAAAGAAGTCCAAATAAGCACCTGCAGACTTTACAAACAGGGTGTTTCCAAACTGCTCTATGAAAAGAAAGGGTAATCTGTGTGAGTTGAACGCACACATCACAAAGTAGTTGTTGAGAACGATTCTGTGTAGTTTTTATACGAAGATATTTCCTTTTCTGCCATAGGCCTAGAAGCGCTTGGAATCTGCACTTGCAAATACCAAAAAAAGAGTGTTACAAATCTGCTCTCTCTTAATGAAGGTTCAAATCTGTGAGTTGAATACAAACAACACAAAGAAGTTACTGAGAATTCTTCTGTCTAGAATTATATGAGGAAATCCCGTTTCCAACGAAGGGCTCAAAGAGGGCCAATTATCCACTTGGAGACTTTACAAAGAGAGTGTTTCCAAACTGCTCGATTAAAGAAAGGTTAAACTCTGTAAGTGGAACACACACATCACAAAGTGTATTCTGAGAATGATTTTATCTAGTTTTAATACGAAGATATATCCTTTTCTACCATTGTCCTCGAAGCGTTTGAAATCTGCACTAGCAAATTCCACAGAAAGAGTGTTTCAAATCTGCTCTCTCTAAAGAAAGTTTCAACTCTGTGAGTTGAATGCACACAACACAAAGAAGTTAATGAGAATTCTTCTGTCCAGCGTTATATGAAGAAATCCCGTTTCCAACGAAGGCCTCAAAGAAGTCCAAATAAGCACTTGCAGACTTTACAGACAGAGTCTTTCCAAAGTGCTCTATGAAAAGAAAGGTTAAACTCTGTGAGTTGAACGCTCACATCACAAAGTAGTTGTTGAGAATGATTCTGTGTAGTTTTTATACGAAGATATTTCCTTTTCTGCCATAGGCCTAGGAGCGCTTGAAATCTGTACTTGCAAATACCAAAAAAAGAGTTTTTCAAATCTGCTCTCTCGAAAGGAAGGTTCAAATCTCTGAGTTGAATACAAACAACACGAAGAAGTTACTGAGAATTCTTCCGTCTAGCATTGTATGAGGAAATCCCGTTTCCAGCGAAGGGCTCAAAGACGGCCAATTATCCACTTGCAGACTTTACAAAAAGAGTGTTTCCTAACTGCTCGATTAAAGGAATGTTAAACTCTGTGAGTTGAACACACACATCACAAAGTGTATTCTGAGAATGATTTTGTCTAATTTTAATATGAAGATATAACCTTTTCTGCCATTGTCCTCGAAGCGTTTGATATCTGCACTAGCAAATTCCACAGAAAGAGTGTTTCAAATCTGCTCTCTCTAAAGAAAGTTTCAACTCTGTGAGTTGAATGCACACAACACAAAGAAGTTAATGAGAATTCTTCTGTCTAGCGTTATATGAAGAAATCCCGTTTCCAACTGAGTCCTCAAAGAGGTCCAAATATCCACTTGCAGACTTTACAAACAGAGTGTTTCCAGACTGCTCTATGAAAAGAAAGGTTAAACTCTGTGAGTTGAAGGCACACATCACAAACTAGTTTCTGCGAATGACTCTGTAGTTTTAATACGAAGATATTTCCATGTCTAAGATAGGCGTCAAATCTCTTGAAATCTCCACCTGGAAATTCCACAAAAAGAGTGTTTCAAAACTGCTCTGAATAAAGGAAGGTTCAACTCTGTGAGTTGAATTCACACAACACAAAGGATTTACTGAGAATTCTTCTGTCTAGCAGTAAATGAAAAAATCTCTCTTCCAACGAAGTACACAAAGGGGTCCAAGTATTCACTTGCAGACTTTACAGACAGAGTCTTTCCAAACTGCTCTATAAAAAGAAAGGTGAAACTCTGTAAGCTGAACGCAGACATCACAAAGCAGTTTCTGAGAATGATTCTGTGTAGTTTTTACACGAAGAGATTTCCATTTCAAAGATTGGCCTCAAATCGCTTGAAATCTCCACTTGCAAATTCCACAGAAAGAGTTTTTCAAAACTGCTCTGTCTAAAGGAAGGTTCAACTCTGTGACTTGAATACACACAACACAAAGAAGTGACTGATAATTCTTCTATCTAGCATTATATGAAGAAATCACGTTTCCAACGAAGGCCTCAAAGAGGTCCAAATATGCACTTGCAGACTTTACAAACAGAGTGTTTCCAAACTGCTCTATGAAAAGAAAGGTTAAACTCCGTGTGTTGAACGCACACATCAGAAAGCAGTTCCTGAGAATGATTCTGTGTAGTTTTTACACGAAGATATTTCCATTTCAAGGATTGGCCTCAAATCGCTTGAAATCTCCACTTGCAAATTCCGCAGAAAGAGATTTTCAAAACTGCTCTGTCTAAAGGAAGTTTCAACTCTGTGACTTGAATACCACAACACAAAGAAGTGACTGAGAATTCTTCTGTCAAGCATTATATGAAGAAATCCCGTTTCCAACGAAGGCCTCAAAGAAGTCCAAATATGCACTTGCAGACATTACAAACAGAGTGTTTCCAAACTGCTCTATGAAAAGAAAGGTTAAACTCTGTGAGTTGAACACACACATCACAAAGTAGTTGTTGAGAATGATTCTGTGTAGTTTTTATACGAAGATATTCCCTTTTCTGCCATAGGCCTAGAAGCGCTTGAAATCTGCACTTGCAAATTCCAAGAACAGAGTGTTTCAAATCTGCTCTCTCTAAAGGAAGGTTCAAATCTGTGAGTTGAATACAAACAACACAAAGAAGTTACTGAGAATTCTTCTGTCTAGAATTATATGAGGAAATCCCGTTTCCAACGAAGGGCTCAAAGAGGGCCAATTATCCACTTGGAGACTTTACAAAGAGAGTGTTTCCTAACTGCTCGATTAAAGAAAGGTTAAACTCTGTAAGTGGAACACACACATCACAAAGTGTATTCTGAGAATGATTTTGTCTAGTTTTAATACGAAGATATATCCTTTTCTACCATTGTCCTCGAAGCGTTTGAAATCTGCAATAGCAAACTCCACAGAAAGGGTGTTTCAAATCTGCTCTCTCTAAAGAAAGTTTCAACTCTGTGAGTTGAATGCACACAACACAAAGAAGTAAATGAGAATTCTTCTGTCCAGCGTTATATGAAGAAATCCCGTTTCCAACGAAGGCCTCAAAGAAGTCCAAATAAGCACTTGCAGACTTTACAGACAGAGTCTTTCCAAAGTGCTCTATGAAAAGAAAGGTTAAACTCTGTGAGTTGAACGCTCACATCACAAAGTAGTTGTTGAGAATGATTCTGTGTAGTTTTTATACGAAGATATTTCCTTTTCTGCCATAGGCCTAGGAGCGCTTGAAATCTGTACTTGCAAATACCAAAAAAAGAGTTTTTCAAATCTGCTCTCTCCAAAGGAAGGTTCAAATCTCTGAGTTGAATACAAACAACACGAAGAAGTTACTGAGAATTCTTCCGTCTAGCATTGTATGAGGAAATCCCGTTTCCAGCGAAGGGCTCAAAGACGGCCAATTATCCACTTGCAGACTTTACAAAAAGAGTGTTTCCTAACTGCTCGATTAAAGGAATGTTAAACTCTGTGAGTTGAACACACACATCACAAAGTGTATTCTGAGAATGATTTTGTCTAATTTTAATATGAAGATATAACCTTTTCTGCCATTGTCCTCGAAGCGTTTGATATCTGCACTAGCAAATTCCACAGAAAGAGTGTTTCAAATCTGCTCTCTCTAAAGAAAGTTTCAACTCTGTGAGTTGAATGCACACAACACAAAGAAGTTAATGAGAATTCTTCTGTCTAGCATTATATGAAGAAATCCCGTTTCCAACGAAGGCCTCAGAGAGGTCCAAATATCCACTTGCAGACTTTACAAATAGAGTGTTTCCAAACTGCTCTATTAAAAGAAAGGTTAAACTCTGTGTGTTGAAGGCACACATCAGAAACTAGTTTCTGCGAATGACTCTGTAGTTTTAATACGAAGATATTTCCATGTCTAAGATAGGCGTCAAATCTCTTGAAATCTCCACCTGGAAATTCCACAAAAAGAGTGTTTCAAAACTGCTCTGAATAAAGGAAGGTTCAACTCTGTGAGTTGAATTCACACAACACAAAGGATTTACTGAGAATTCTTCTGTCTAGCAGTAAATGAAAAAATCCCTCTTCCAACAAAGTACACAAAGGGGTCCAAGTATTCACTTGCAGACTTTACAGACAGAGTCTTTCCAAACTGCTCTATAAAAAGAAAGGTGAAACTCTGTAAGCTGAACGCAGACATCACAAAGCAGTTTCTGAGAATGATTCTGTGTAGTTTTTACACGAAGATATTTCCATTTCAAAGATTGGCCTCAAATCGCTTGAAATCTCCACTTGCAAATTCCACAGAAAGAGTTTTTCAAAATTGCTCTGTCTAAAGGAAGGTTCAACTATGTGACTTGAATACACACAACACAAAGAAGTGACTGATAATTCTTCTGTCTAGCATTATATGAAGAAATCACGTTTCCAACGAAGGCCTCAAAGAGGTCCAAATAAGCACTTGCAGACTTTACAAACAGAGTGTTTCCAAACTGCTCTATGAAAAGAAAGGTTAAACTCCGTGTGTTGAACGCACACATCAGAAAGTAGTTCCTGAGAATGATTCTGTGTAGTTTTTACACGAAGATATTTCCATTCAAAGATTAGCCTCAAATCGCTTGAAATCTCCACTTGCAAATTCCACAGAAAGAGTTTTTCAAAACTGCTCTGTCTAAAGGAAGTTTCAACTCTGTGACTTGAATACCACAACACAAAGAAGTGACTGAGAATTCTTCTGTCTAGCATTATATGAAGAAATCCCGTTTCCAACGAAGGCCTCAATGAAGTCTAAAAAAGCACTTGCAGGCTTTACAAACAGAGTGTTTCCAAACTGCTCTATAAAAAGAAAGGTTAAACTCTGTGAGTTGAACGCACACATCACAAAGTAGTTGTTGAGAATGATTCTGTGTAGTTTTTATACGAAGATATTTCCTTTTCTGCCATAGGCCTATAAGCGCTTGAAATCTGCACTTGCAAATTCCAAAAACAGAGTGTTTCAAATCTGCTCTCTCTAAAGGAAGGTTCAAATCTGTGAGTTGAATACAAACAACACAAAGAAGTTACTGAGAATTCTTCTGTCTAGCACTATATGAGGAAATCCCGTTTCCAACGAAGGGCTCAAAGAGGGCCAATTATCCACTTGCAGACTTTACAAAGAGTGTATTTCCAAACTGCTCGATTAAAGAAAGGTTAAATTCTGTGAGTTGAACACACACATCACAAAGTGTTTTCTGAGAATGATTTTGTCTAGTTTTAATACGAAGATATATCCTTTTCTACCATTGTCCTCGAAGCGTTTGAAATCTGCACTAGCAAACTCCACAGAAAGGGTGTTTCAAATCTGCTCTCTCTAAAGAAAGTTTCAACTCTGTGAGTTGAATGCACACAACACAAAGAAGTAAATGAGAATTCTTCTGTCCAGCGTTATATGAAGAAATCCCGTTTCCAACGAAGGCCTCAAAGAAGTCCAAATAAGCACTTGCAGACTTTACAGACAGAGTCTTTCCAAAGTGCTCTATGAAAAGAAAGGTTAAACTCTGTGAGTTGAACGCTCACATCACAAAGTAGTTGTTGAGAATGATTCTGTGTAGTTTTTATACGAAGATATTTCCTTTTCTGCCATAGGCCTAGGAGCGCTTGAAATCTATACTTGCAAATACCAAAAAAAGAGTTTTTCAAATCTGCTCTCTCCAAAGGGAAGGTTCAAATCTCTGAGTTGAATACAAACAACACGAAGAATTTACTGAGAATTCTTCGGTCTAGCATTATATGAGGAAATCCCGTTTCCACTGAAGGGCTCAAAGACGGCCAATTATCCACTTGCAGACTTTACAAAGAGAGTGTTTCCTAACTGCTCGATTAAAGGAATGTTAAATTCTGTGAGTTGAACACACACATCACAAAGTGTGTTCTGAGAATGATTTTGTCTAATTTTAATATGAAGATATAACCTTTTCTGCCATCGTCCTCGAAGCGTTTGATATCTGCACTAGCAAATTCCACAGAAAGAGTGTTTCAAATCTGCTCTCTCTAAAGAAAGTTTCAACTCTGTGAGTTGAATGCACACAACACAAAGAAGTTAATGAGAATTCTTCTGTCTAGAGTTATATGAAGAAATCCCGTTTCCAACTGAGTCCTCAAAGAGGTCCAAATATCCACTTGCAGACTTTACAAACAGAGTGTTTCCAGACTGCTCTATGAAAAGAAAGGTTAAACTCTGTGAGTTGAAGGCACACATCACAAACTAGTTTCTGCGAATGACTCTGTAGTTTTAATACGAAGATATTTCCATGTCTAAGATAGGCGTCAAATCTCTTGAAATCTCCACCTGGAAATTCCACAAAAAGAGTGTTTCAAAACTGCTCTGAATAAGGGAAGGTTCAACTCTGTGAGTTGAATTCACACAACACAAAGGATTTACTGAGAATTCTTCTGTCTAGCAGTAAATGAAAAAATCCCTCTTCCAACGAAGTACACAAAGGGGTCCAAGTATTCACTTGCAGACTTTACAGACAGAGTCTTTCCAAACTGCTCTATAAAAAGAAAGGTGAAACTCTGTAAGCTGAACGCAGACATCACAAAGCAGTTTCTGAGAATGATTCTGTGTAGTTTTTACACGAAGAGATTTCCATTTCAAAGATTGGCCTCAAATCGCTTGAAATCTCCACTTGCAAATTCCACACAAAGAGTTTTTCAAAACTGCTCTGTCTAAAGGAAGGTTCAACTCTGTGACTTGAATACACACAACACAAAGAAGTGACTGATAATTCTTCTGTCTAGCATTATATGAAGAAATCACGTTTCCAACGAAGGCCTCAAAGAGGTTCAAATATGCACTTGCAGACTTTACAAACAGAGTGTTTCCAAACTGCTCTATGAAAAGAAAGGTTAAACTCCGTGTGTTGAACGCACACATCAGAAAGCAGTTCCTGAGAATGATTCTGTGTAGTTTTTACACGAAGATATTTCCATTTCAAAGATTGGCCTCAAATCGCATGAAATCACCACTTGCAAATTCCACACAAAGAGTTTTTCAAAACTGCTCGGTCTAAAGGAAGTTTCAACTCTGTGACTTGAATACCACAGCACAAAGAAGTGACTGAGAATTCTTCTGTCTAGCATTATATGAAGAAATCCCGTTTCCAACGAAGGCCTCAAAGAAGTCCACATAAGCACCTGCAGACTTTACAAACAGAGTGTTTCCAAACTGCTCTATGAAAAGAAAGGTTAAACTCTGTGAGTTGAACACGCACATCACAAAGTAGTTTTTGAGAATGATTCTGTGTAGTTTTTATAAGACGATATTCCCTTTTCTGCCATAGGCCTAGAAGCGCTTGAAATCTGCACTTGCAAATTCCAAAAAAAGAGTGTTTGAAATCTGTTCTCTCTAAAGGAAGGTTCAAATCTGTGAGTTGAATACAAACAACACAAAGAAGTTACTGAGAATTCTTCTGTCTAGCATTATATGAGGAAATCCCGTTTCCAACGAAGGGCTCAAAGAGGGCCAATTATCCACTTGCAGACTTACAAAGAGTGTATTTCCAAACTGCTCAATTAAAGAAAGGTTAAACTCTATGAGTTGAACACACACATCACAAAGTGTTTTCTGAGAATGATTTTGTCTAGTTTTAATACGAAGATATATCCTTTTCTACCATTGTCCTCGAAGCGTTTGAAATCTGCACTAGCAAACTCCACAGAAAGGGTGTTTCAAATCTGCTCTCTCTAAAGAAAGTTTCAACTCTGTGAGTTGAATGCACACAACACAAAGAAGTAAATGAGAATTCTTCTGTCCAGCGTTATATGAAGAAATCCCGTTTCCAACGAAGGCCTCAAAGAAGTCCAAATAAGCACTTGCAGACTTTACAGACAGAGTCTTTCCAAAGTGCTCTATGAAAAGAAAGGTTAAACTCTGTGAGTTGAACGCTCACATCACAAAGTAGTTGTTGAGAATGATTCTGTGTAGTTTTTATACGAAGATATTTCCTTTTCTGCCATAGGCCTAGGAGCGCTTGAAATCTGTACTTGCAAATACCAAAAAAAGAGTTTTTCAAATCTGCTCTCTCCAAAGGAAGGTTCAAATCTCTGAGTTGAATACAAACAACACGAAGAAGTTACTGAGAATTCTTCCGTCTAGCATTGTATGAGGAAATCCCGTTTCCAGCGAAGGGCTCAAAGACGGCCAATTATCCACTTGCAGACTTTACAAAAAGAGTGTTTCCTAACTGCTCGATTAAAGGAATGTTAAACTCTGTGAGTTGAACACACACATCACAAAGTGTATTCTGAGAATGATTTTGTCTAATTTTAATATGAAGATATAAACTTTTCTGCCATTGTCCTCGAAGCGTTTGATATCTGCACTAGCAAATTCCACAAAAAGAGTGTTTCAAATCTGCTCTCTCTAAAGAAAGTTTCAACTCTGTGAGTTGAATGCACACAACACAAAGAAGTTAATGAGAATTCTTCTGTCTAGCGTTATATGAAGAAATCCCGTTTCCAACTGAGTCCTCAAAAAGGTCCAAATATCCACTTGCAGACTTTACAAACAGAGTGTTTCCAGACTGCTCTATGAAAAGAAAGGTTAAACTCTGTGAGTTGAAGGCACACATCACAAACTAGTTTCTGCGAATGACTCTGTAGTTTTAATACGAAGATATTTCCATGTCTAAGATAGGCGTCAAATCTCTTGAAATCTCCACGTGGAAATTCCACAAAAAGAGTGTTTCAAAACTGCTCTGAATAAAGGAAGGTTCAACTCTGTGAGTTGAATTCACACAACACAAAGGATTTACTGAGAATTCTTCTGTCTAGCAGTAAATGAAAAAATCCCTCTTCCAACGAAGTACACAAAGGGGTCCAAGTATTCACTTGCAGACTTTACAGACAGAGTCTTTCCAAACTGCTTTATAAAAAGAAAGGTGAAACTCTGTAAGCTGAACGCAGACATCACAAAGCAGTTTCTGAGAATGATTCTGTGTAGTTTTTACACGAAGATATTTCCATTTCAAAGATTGGCCTCAAATCGCTTGAAATCTCCACTTGCAAATTCCACAGAAAGAGTTTTTCAAAATTGCTCTGTCTAAAGGAAGGTTCAACTATGTGACTTGAATACACACAACACAAAGAAGTGACTGATAATTCTTCTGTCTAGCATTATATGAAGAAATCACGTTTCCAACTAAGGCTTCAAAGAGGTCCAAATATGCACTTGCAGACTTTACAAACAGAGTGTTTCCAAACTGCTCTATGAAAAGAAAGGTTAAACTCCGTGTGTTGAACGCACACATCAGAAAGTAGTTCCTGAGTATGATTCTGTGTAGTTTTTACACGAAGATATTTCCATTTCAAAGATTGGCCACAAATTGCTTGAAATCTCCACTTGCAAATTCCACAGAAAGAGTTTTTCAAAACTACTCGGTCTAAAGGAAGTTTCAACTCTGTGACTTGAATACCACAACACAAAGAAGTGACTGTGAATTCTTCTGTCAAGCATTATATGAAGAAATCCCGTTTCCAACGAAGGCCTCAAAGAAGTCCAAATATGCACTTGCAGACATTACAAACAGAGTGTTTCCAAACTGCTCTATGAAAAGAAAGGTTAAACTCTGTGAGTTGAACACACACATCACAAAGTAGTTGTTGAGAATGATTCTGTGTAGTTTTTATACGAAGATATTTCCTTTTCTGCCATAGGCCTAGAAGCGCTTTTAATCTGCACTTGCAAATACCAACAAAACAGTGTTTCAAATCTGCTCTCTCTAAAGGAAGGTTGAAATCTGTGAGTTGAATACAAACAACACAAAGAAGTTACTGAGAATTCTTCTGTCTAGCATTATATGAGGAAATCCCGTTTCCAACGAAGGGCTCAAAGAGGGCCAATTATCCACTTGGAGACTTTACAAAGAGAGTGTTTCCAAACTGCTCGATTAAAGAAAGGTTAAACTCTGTAAGTGGAACACACACATCACAAAGTGTTTTCTGAGAATGATTTTGTCTAGTTTTAATACGAAGATATATCCTTTTCTACCATTGTCCTCGAAGCGTTTGAAATCTGCACTAGCAAACTCCACAGAAAGGGTGTTTCAAATCTGCTCTCTCTAAAGAAAGTTTCAACTCTGTGAGTTGAATGCACACAACACAAAGAAGTAAATGAGAATTCTTCTGTCCAGCGTTATATGAAGAAATCCCGTTTCCAACGAAGGCCTCAAAGAAGTCCAAATAAGCACTTGCAGACTTTACAGACAGAGTCTTTCCAAAGTGCTCTATGAAAAGAAAGGTTAAACTCTGTGAGTTGAACGCTCACATCACAAAGTAGTTGTTGAGAATGATTCTGTGTAGTTTTTATACGAAGATATTTCCTTTTCTGCCATAGGCCTAGGAGCGCTTGAAATCTGTACTTGCAAATACCAAAAAAAGAGTTTTTCAAATCTGCTCTCTCCAAAGGAAGGTTCAAATCTCTGAGTTGAATACAAACAACACGAAGAAGTTACTGAGAATTCTTCGGTCTAGCATTATATGAGGAAATCCCGTTTCCAGCGAAGGGCTCAAAGACGGCCAATTATCCACTTGCAGACTTTACAAAAAGAGTGTTTCCTAACTGCTCGATTAAAGGAATGTTAAACTCTGTGAGTTGAACACACACATCACAAAGTGTATTCTGAGAATGATTTTGTCTAGTTTTAATACGAAGATATATCCTTTTCTATCACTGTCTTCGAAGCGTTTGAAATCTGCACTAGCAAATTCCACAAAAAGAGTGTTTCACCTCTGCTCCCTCTAAAGAAAGGTTCAACTCTGTGAGTTGAATACACACAACACAAAGAAGTTACTGAGAATTCTTCTGTCTAGCGTTATATGAAGAAATCCCGTTTCCAACGAAGGCCTCAAAGAGGTCCAAATATCCACTTGCAGACTTTACAAATAGAGTGTTTCCGAACAGCTCTATGAAAAGAAAGGTTAAACTCTGTGAGTTGAAGGCACACATCACAAACTAGTTTCTACGAATGACTCTGTAGTTTTAATACGAAGATATTTCCATGTCTAAGATAGGCGTCAAATCTCTTGAAATCTCCACGTGGAAATTCCACAAAAAGAGTGTTTCAAAACTGCTCTGAATAAAGGAAGGTTCAACTCTGTGAGTTGAATTCACACAACACAAAGGATTTACTGAGAATTCTTCTGTCTAGCAGTAAATGAAAAAATCCCTCTTCCAACGAAGTACACAAAGGGGTCCAAGTATTCACTTGCAGACTTTACAGACATAGTCTTTCCAAACTGCTCTATAAAAAGAAAGGTGAAACTCTGTAAGCTGAACGCAGACATCACAAAGCAGTTTCTGAGAATGATTCTGTGTAGTTTTTACACGAAGAGATTTCCATTTCAAAGATTGGCCTCAAATCGCTTGAAATCTCCACTTGCAAATTCCACAGAAAGAGTTTTTCAAAACTGCTCTGTCTAAAGGAAGGTTCAACTCTGTGACTTGAATACACACAACACAAAGAAGTGACTGATAATTCTTCTATCTAGCATTATATGAAGAAATCACGTTTCCAACGAAGGCCTCAAAGAGGTCCAAATATGCACTTGCAGACTTTACAAACAGAGTGTTTCCAAACTGCTCTATGAAAAGAAAGGTTAAACTCCGTGTGTTGAACGCACACATCAGAAAGCAGTTCCTGAGAATGATTCTGTGTAGTTTTTACACGAAGATATTTCCATTTCAAGGATTGGCCTCAAATCGCTTGAAATCTCCACTTGCAAATTCCACAGAAAATGTTTTTCAAAACTGCTCGGTCTAAAGGAAGTTTCAACTCTGTGACTTGAATACCACAACACAAAGAAGTGACTGAGAATTCTTCTGTCTAGCATTATATGAAGAACTCCCGTTTCCAACGAAGGCCTCAAAGAAGTCCAAATAAGCACTTGCAGACTTTACAAACAAAGTGTTTCCAAACTGCTCTATGAAAAGAAAGGTTAAACTCTGTGAGTTGAACTCACACATCACAAAGTAGTTGTTGAGAATGATTCTGTGTAGTTTTTATACGAAGATATTTCCTTTTCTGCCATAGGCCTAGAAGCGCTTGGAATCTGCACTTGCAAATACCAAAAAAAGAGTGTTTCAAATCTGCTCTCTCTAAAGGAAGGTTGAAATCTGTGAGTTGAATACAAACAACACAAAGAAGTTACTGAGAATTCTTCTGTCTAGAATTATATGAGGAAATCCCGTTTCCAACGAAGGGCTCAAAGAGGGCCAATTATCCACTTGGAGACTTTACAAAGAGAGTGTTTCCAAACTGCTCGATTAAAGAAAGGTTAAACTCTGTAAGTGGAACACACACATCACAAAGTGTATTCTGAGAATGATTTTGTCTAGTTTTAATACGAAGATATATCCTTTTCTACCATTGTCCTCGAAGCGTTTGAAATCTGCACTAGCAAACTCCACAGAAAGGGTGTTTCAAATCTGCTCTCTCTAAAGAAAGTTTCAACTCTGTGAGTTGAATGCACACAACACAAAGAAGTAAATGAGAATTCTTCTGTCCAGCGTTATATGAAGAAATCCCGTTTCCAACGAAGGCCTCAAAGAAGTCCAAATAAGCACTTGCAGACTTTACAGACAGAGTCTTTCCAAAGTGCTCTATGAAAAGAAAGGTTAAACTCTGTGAGTTGAACGCTCACATCACAAAGTAGTTGTTGAGAATGATTCTGTGTAGTTTTTATACGAAGATATTTCCTTTTCTGCCATAGGCCTAGAAGCGCTTGAAATCTGTACTTGCAAATACCAAAAAAAGAGTTTTTCAAATCTGCTCTCTCCAAGGGAATGTTCAAATCTCTGAGTTGAATACAAACAACACAAAGAAGTTACTGAGAATTCTTCTGTCTAGCATTATATGAGGAAATCCCGTTTCCACCGAAGGGCTCAAAGACGGCCAATTATCCACTTGCAGACTTTACAAAGAGAGTGTTTCCTAACTGCTCGATTAAAGGAATGTTAAATTCTGTGAGTTGAACACACACATCACAAAGTGTATTCTGAGAATGATTTTGTCTAATTTTAATATGAAGATATAAACTTTTCTGCCATTGTCCTCGAAGCGTTTGATATCTGCACTAGCAAATTCCACAAAAAGAGTGTTTCAAATCTGCTCTCTCTAAAGAAAGTTTCAACTCTGTGAGTTGAATGCACACAACACAAAGAAGTTAATGAGAATTCTTCTGTCTAGCGTTATGTGAAGAAATCCCGTTTCTAACTGAGTCCTCAAAGAGGTCCAAATATCCACTTGCAGACTTTACAAACAGAGTGTTTCCAGACTGCTCTATGAAAAGAAAGGTTAAACTCTGTGAGTTGAAGGCACACATCACAAACTAGTTTCTGCGAATGACTCTGTAGTTTTAATACGAAGATATTTCCATGTCTAAGATAGGCGTCAAATCTCTTGAAATCTCCACCTGGAAATTCCACAAAAAGAGTGTTTCAAAGCTGCTCTGAATAAAGGAAGGTTCAACTCTGTGAGTTGAATTCACACAACACAAAGGATTTACTGAGAATTCTTCTGTCTAGCAGTAAATGAAAAAATCCCTCTTCCAACGAAGTACACAAAGGGGTCCAAGTATTCACTTGCAGACTTTACAGACAGAGTCTTTCCAAACTGCTCTATAAAAAGAAAGGTGAAACTCTGTAAGCTGAACGCAGACATCACAAAGCAGTTTCTGAGAATGATTCTGTGTAGTTTTTACACGAAGAGATTTCCATTTCAAAGATTGGCCTCAAATCGCTTGAAATCTCCACTTGCAAATTCCACAGAAAGAGTTTTTCAAAACTGCTCTGTCTAAAGGAAGGTTCAACTCTGTGACTTGAATACACACAACACAAAGAAGTGACTGATAATTCTTCTGTCTAGCATTATATGAAGAAATCACGTTTCCAACGAAGGCCTCAAAGAGGTTCAAATATGCACTTGCAGACTTTACAAACAGAGTGTTTCCAAACTGCTCTATGAAAAGAAAGGTTAAACTCCGTGTGTTGAACGCACACATCAGAAAGCAGTTCCTGAGAATGATTCTGTGTAGTTTTTACACGAAGATATTTCCATTTCAAAGATTGGCCTCAAATCGCTTGAAATCTACACTTGCAAATTCCACAGAAAGAGATTTTCAAAACTGCTCTGTCTAAAGGAAGTTTCAACTCTGTGACTTGAATACCACAACACAAAGAAGTGACTGAGAATTCTTCTGTCAAGCATTGTATGAAGAAATCCCGTTTCCAACGAAGGCCTCAAAGAAGTCCAAATATGCACTTGCAGACATTACAAACAGAGTGTTTCCAAACTGCTCTATGAAAAGAAAGGTTAAACTCTGTGAGTTGAACACACACATCACAAAGTAGTTGTTGAGAATGATTCTGTGTAGTTTTTATACGAAGATATTTCCTTTTCTGCCATAGGCCTAGAAGCGCTTGGAATCTGCACTTGCAAATACCAAAAAAAGAGTGTTTCAAATCTGCTCTCTCTTAATGAAGGTTCAAATCTGTGAGTTGAATACAAACAACACAAAGAAGTTACTGAGAATTCTTCTGTCTAGCATTATATGAGGAAATCCCGTTTCCAACGAAGGGCTCAAAGAGGGCCAATTATCCACTTGGAGACTTTACAAAGAGAGTGTTTCCAAACTGCTCGATTAAAGAAAGGTTAAACTCTGTAAGTGGAACACACACATCACAAAGTGTATTCTGAGAATGATTTTGTCTAGTTTTAATATGAAGATATATCCTTTTCTACCATTGTCCTCGAAGCGTTTGAAATCTGCACTAGCAAACTCCACAGAAAGGGTGTTTCCAATCTGCTCTCTCTAAAGAAAGTTTCAACTCTGTGAGTTGAATGCACACAACACAAAGAAGTAAATGAGAATTCTTCTGTCCAGCGTTATATGAAGAAATCCCGTTTCCAACGAAGGCCTCAAAGAAGTCCAAATAAGCACTTGCAGACTTTACAGACAGAGTCTTTCCAAAGTGCTCTATGAAAAGAAAGGTTAAACTCTGTGAGTTGAACGCTCATATCACAAAGTAGTTGTTGAGAATGATTCTGTGTAGTTTTTATACGAAGATATTTCCTTTTCTGCCATAGGCCTAGGAGCGCTTGAAATCTATACTTGCAAATACCAAAAAAAGAGTTTTTCAAATCTGCTCTCTGCAAAGGAAGGTTCAAATCTCTGAGTTGAATACAAACAACACGAAGAATTTACTGAGAATTCTTCGGTCTAGCATTATATGAGGAAATCCCGTTTCCAGCGAAGGGCTCAAAGACGGCCAATTATCCACTTGCAGACTTTACAAAAAGAGTGTTTCCTAACTGCTCGATTAAAGGAATGTTAAACTCTGTGAGTTGAACACACACATCACAAAGTGTATTCTGAGAATGATTTTCTCTAATTTTAATATGAAGATATAACCTTTTCTGCCATTGTCCTCGAAGCGTTTGATATCTGCACTAGCAAATTCCACAGAAAGAGTGTTTCAAATCTGCTCTCTCTAAAGAAAGTTTCAACTCTGTGAGTTGAATGCACACAACACAAAGAACTTAATGAGAATTCTTCTGTCTAGCGTTATATGAAGAAATCCCGTTTCCAACTGAGTCCTCAAAGAGGTCCAAATATCCACTTGCAGACTTTACAAACAGAGTGTTTCCAGACTGCTCTATGAAAAGAAAGGTTAAACTCTGTGAGTTGAAGGCACACATCACAAACTAGTTTCTGCGAATGACTCTGTAGTTTTAATACGAAGATATTTCCATGTCTAAGATAGGCGTCAAATCTCTTGAAATCTCCACCTGGAAATTCCACAAAAAGAGTGTTTCAAAGCTGCTCTGAATAAAGGAAGGTTCAACTCTGTGAGTTGAATTCACACAACACAAAGGATTTACTGAGAATTCTTCTGTCTAGCAGTAAATGAAAAAATCCCTCTTCCAACGAAGTACACAAAGGGGTCCAAGTATTCACTTGCAGACTTTACAGACAGAGTCTTTCCAAACTGCTCTATAAAAAGAAAGGTGAAACTCTGTAAGCTGAACGCAGACATCACAAAGCAGTTTCTGAGAATGATTCTGTGTAGTTTTTACACGAAGAGATTTCCATTTCAAAGATTGGCCTCAAATCGCTTGAAATCTCCACTTGCAAATTCCACAGAAAGAGTTTTTCAAAACTGCTCTGTCTAAAGGAAGGTTCAACTCTGTGACTTGAATACACACAACACAAAGAAGTGACTGATAATTCTTCTGTCTAGCATTATATGAAGAAATCACGTTTCCAACGAAGGCCTCAAAGAGGTCCAAATAAGCACTTGCAGACTTTACAAACAGAGTGTTTCCAAACTGCTCTATGAAAAGAAAGGTTAAACTCCGTGTGTTGAACGCACACATCAGAAAGTAGTTCCTGAGAATGATTCTGTGTAGTTTTTACACGAAGATATTTCCATTTCAAAGATTGGCCTCAAATCGCTTGAAATCTCCACTTGCAAATTCCACAGAAAGAGATTTTCAAAACTGCTCTGTCTAAAGGAAGTTTCAACTCTGTGACTTGAATACCACAACACAAAGAAGTGACTGAGAATTCTTCTGTCAAGCATTGTATGAAGAAATCCCGTTTCCAACGAAGGCCTCAAAGAAGTCCAAATATGCACTTGCAGACATTACAAACAGAGTGTTTCCAAACTGCTCTATGAAAAGAAAGGTTAAACTCTGTGAGTTGAACACACACATCACAAAGTAGTTGTTGAGAATGATTCTGTGTAGTTTTTATACGAAGATATTTCCTTTTCTGCCATAGGCCTAGAATCGCTTGGAATCTGCACTTGCAAATACCAAAAAAAGAGTGTTTCAAATCTGCTCTCTCTAAAGGAAGGTTGAAATCTGTGAGTTGAATACAAACAACACAAAGAAGTTACTGAGAATTCTTCTGTCTAGAATTATATGAGGAAATCCCGTTTCCAACGAAGGGCTCAAAGAGGGCCAATTATCCACTTGGAGACTTTACAAAGAGAGTGTTTCCAAACTGCTCGATTAAAGAAAGGTTAAACTCTGTAAGTGGAACACACACATCACAAAGTGTATTCTGAGAATGATTTTCTCTCGTTCTAATACGAAGATATATCCTTTTCTACCATTGTCCTCGAAGCGTTTGAAATCTGCACTAGCATATTCCACGGAAAGAATGTTTCAAATCTGCTCTCTGTAAAGAAAGGTTCAACCCTGTGAGTTGAATACACACAACACAAAGAAGTTACTGAGAATTCTTCTGTCCAGCGTTATATGAAGAAATCCCGTTTCCAACGAAGGCCTCAAAGAAGTCCAAATAAGCACTTGCAGACTTTACAGACAGAGTCTTTCCAAAGTGCTCTATGAAAAGAAAGGTTAAACTCTGTGAGTTGAACGCTCACATCACAAAGTAGTTGTTGAGAATGATTCTGTGTAGTTTTTATACGAAGATATTTCCTTTTCTGCCATAGGCCTAGGAGCGCTTGAAATCTGTACTTGCAAATACCAAAAAAAGAGTTTTTCAAATCTGCTCTCTCCAAAGGAAGGTTCAAATCTCTGAGTTGAATACAAACAACACGAAGAAGTTACTGAGAATTCTTCCGTCTAGCATTGTATGAGGAAATCCCGTTTCCAGCGAAGGGCTCAAAGACGGCCAATTATCCACTTGCAGACTTTACAAAAAGAGTGTTTCCTAACTGCTCGATTAAAGGAATGTTAAACTCTGTGAGTTGAACACACACATCACAAAGTGTATTCTGAGAATGATTTTGTCTAATTTTAATATGAAGATATAACCTTTTCTGCCATTGTCCTCGAAGCGTTTGATATCTGCACTAGCAAATTCCACAGAAAGAGTGTTTCAAATCTGCTCTCTCTAAAGAAAGTTTCAACTCTGTGAGTTGAATGCACACAACACAAAGAAGTTAATGAGAATTCTTCTGTCTAGCGTTATATGAAGAAATCCCGTTTCCAACTGAGTCCTCAAAGAGGTCCAAATATCCACTTGCAGACTTTACAAACAGAGTGTTTCCAGACTGCTCTATGAAAAGAAAGGTTAAACTCTGTGAGTTTAAGGCACACATCACAAACTAGTTTCTGCGAATGACTCTGTAGTTTTAATACGAAGATATTTCCATGTCTAAGATAGGCGTCAAATCTCTTGAAATCTCCACCTGGAAATTCCACAAAAAGAGTGTTTCAAAACTGCTCTGAATAAAGGAAGGTTCAACTCTGTGAGTTGAATTCACACAACACAAAGGATTTACTGAGAATTCTTCTGTCTAGCAGTAAATGAAAAAATCCCTCTTCCAACGAAGTACACAAAGGGGTCCAAGTATTCACTTGCAGACTTTACAGACAGAGTCTTTCCAAACTGTTCTATAAAAAGAAAGGTGAAACTCTGTAAGCTGAACGCAGACATCACAAAGCAGTTTCTGAGAATGATTCTGTGTAGTTTTTACACGAAGATATTTCCATTTCAAAGATTAGCCCCAAATCGCTTGAAATCTCCACATGCAAATTCCACAGAAAGAATTTTTCAAAACTGCTCTGTCTAAAGGAAGGTTCAACTCTGTGACTTAGATACACACAACACAAAGAAGTGACTGAGAATTCTTCTGCCTAGCATTATATGAAGAAATCACGTTTCCAACGAACGCTTCAAAGAGGTCCAAATATGCACTTGCAGACTTTACAAACAGAGTGTTTCCAAACTGCTCTATGAAAAGAAAGGTTAAACTCCGTGTGTTGAACGCACACATCAGAAAGTAGTTCCTGAGAATGATTCTGTGTTGTTTTTATAAGAAGATATTTCCTTTTCTGCCATAGGCCTAGAAGCGCTTGGAATCTGCACTTGCAAATACCAAAAAAAGAGTGTTTCAAATCTGCTCTCTCTAAAGGAAGGTTGAAATCTGTGAGTTGAATACAAACAACACAAAGAAGTTACTGAGAATTCTTCTGTCTAGCATGATATGAGGAAAACCCGTTTCCAACGAAGGGCTCAAAGAGGGCCAATTATCCACTTGGAGACTTTACAAAGAGAGTGTTTCCAAACTGCTCGATTAAAGAAAGGTTAAACTCTGTAAGTTGAACACACACATCACAAAGTGTATTCTGAGAATGATTTTGTCTAGTTTTAATACGAAGATACATCCTTTTCTACCATTGTCCTCGAAGCGTTTGAAATCTGCACTAGCAAACTCCACAGAAAGGGTGTTTCAAATCTGCTCTCTCTAAAGAAAGTTTCAACTCTGTGAGTTGAATGCACACAACACAAAGAAGTAAATGAGAATTCTTCTGTCTAGCGTTATATGAAGAAATCCCGTTTCCAACGAAGGCCTCAAAGAAGTCCAAATAAGCACTTGCAGACTTTACAGACAGAGTCTTTCCAAAGTGCTCTATGAAAAGAAAGGTTAAACTCTGTGAGTTGAACGCTCACATCACAAAGTAGTTGTTGAGAATGATTCTGTGTAGTTTTTATACAAAGATATTTCCTTTTCTGCCATAGGCCTAGGAGCGCTTGAAATCTGTACTTGCAAATACCAAAAAAAGAGTTTCTCAAATCTGCTCTCTCCAAAGGAAGGTTCAAATCTCTGAGTTGAATACAAACAACACGAAGAAGTTACTGAGAATTCTTCTGTCTAGCATTATATGAGGAAATCCCGTTTCCAGCGAAGGGCTCAAAGACGGCCAATTATCCACTTGCAGACTTTACAAAGAGATTGTTTCCTAACTGCTCGATTAAAGGAATGTTAAACTCTGTGAGTTGAACACACACATCACAAAGTGTATTCTGAGAATGATTTTGTCTAATTTTAATATGAAGATATAACCTTTTCTGCCATTGTCCTCGAAGCGTTTGATATCTGCACTAGCAAATTCCACAGAAAGAGTGTTTCAAATCTGCTCTCTCTAAAGAAAGTTTCAACTCTGTGAGTTGAATGCACACAACACAAAGAAGTTAATGAGAATTCTTCTGTCTAGCGTTATATGAAGAAATCCCGTTTCCAACTGAGTCCTCAAAGAGGTCCAAATATCCACTTGCAGACTTTACAAACAGAGTGTTTCCAGACTGCTCTATGAAAAGAAAGGTTAAACTCTGTGAGTTGAAGGCACACATCACAAACTAGTTTCTGCGAATGACTCTGTAGTTTTAATACGAAGATATTTCCATGTCTAAGATAGGCGTCAAATCTCTTGAAATCTCCACGTGGAAATTCCACAAAAAGAGTGTTTCAAAACTGCTCTGAATAAAGGAAGGTTCAACTCTGTGAGTTGAATTCACACAACACAAAGGATTTACTGAGAATTCTTCTGTCTAGCAGTAAGTGAAAAAATCAAGCTTCCAACGAAGGCCTCAAAGGGGTCCAAGTATTCACTTGCAGACTTTACAGACAGAGTCTTTCCAAACTGCTCTATGAAAAGAAAGGTGAAACTCTGTGAGTTGAATGCACACATAACAAAGCAGTTTCTGAGAATGATTCTGTGTAGTTTTTACACGAAGAGATTTCCATTTCAAAGATTGGCCTCAAATCGCTTGAAATCTCCACTTGCAAATTCCACAGAAAGAGTTTTTCAAAACTGCTCTGTCTAAAGGAAGGTTCAACTCTGTGACTTGAATACACACAACACAAAGAAGTGACTGATAATTCTTCTGTCTAGCATTATATGAAGAAATCACGTTTCCAACGAAGGCCTCAAAGAGGTCCAAATAAGCACTTGCAGACTTTACAAACAGAGTGTTTCCAAACTGCTCTATGAAAAGAAAGGTTAAACTCCGTGTGTTGAACGCACACATCAGAAAGTAGTTCCTGAGAATGATTCTGTGTAGTTTTTACACGAAGATATTTCCATTTCAAAGATTGGCGTCAAATTGCTTGAAATCTCCACTTGCAAATTCCACAGAAAGAGTTTTTCAAAACTACTCGGTCTAAAGGAAGTTTCCACTCTGTGACTTGAATACCACAACACAAAGAAGTGACTGAGAATTCTTCTGTCAAGCATTATATGAAGAAATCCCGTTTCCAACGAAGGCCTCAAAGAAGTCCAAATATGCACTTGCAGACATTACAAACAGAGTGTTTCCAAACTGCTCTATGAAAAGAAAGGTTAAACTCTGTGAGTTGAACACACACATCACAAAGTAGTTGTTGAGAATGATTCTGTGTAGTTTTTATACGAAGATATTTCCTTTTCTGCCATAGGCCTAGAAGCGCTTGGAATCTGCACTTGCAAATACCAAAAAAAGAGTGTTTCAAATCTGCTCTCTCTAAAGGAAGGTTGAAATCTGTGAGTTGAATACAAACAACACAAAGAAGTTACTGAGAATTCTTCTGTCTAGAATTATATGAGGAAATCCCGTTTCGAACGAAGGGCTCAAGGAGGGCCAATTATCCACTTGGAGACTTTACAAAGAGAGTGTTTCCAAACTGCTCGATTAAAGAAAGGTTAAACTCTGTAAGTGGAACACACACATCACAAAGTGTATTCTGAGAATGATTTTGTCTAGTTTTAATACGAAGATATATCCTTTTCTACCATTGTCCTCGAAGCGTTTGAAATCTGCACTAGCAAACTCCACAGAAAGGGTGTTTCAAATCTGCTCTCTCTAAAGAAAGTTTCAACTCTGTGAGTTGAATGCACACAACACAAAGAAGTAAATGAGAATTCTTCTGTCCAGCGTTATATGAAGAAATCCCGTTTCCAACGAAGGCCTCAAAGAAGTCCAAATAAGCACTTGCAGACTTTACAGACAGAGTCTTTCCAAAGTGCTCTATGAAAAGAAAGGTTAAACTCTGTGAGTTGAACGCTCACATCACAAAGTAGTTGTTGAGAATGATTCTGTGTAGTTTTTATACGAAGATATTTCCTTTTCTGCCATAGGCCTAGGAGCGCTTGAAATCTGTACTTGCAAATACCAAAAAAAGAGTTTTTCAAATCTGCTCTCTCCAAAGGAAGGTTCAAATCTCTGAGTTGAATACAAACAACACGAAGAAGTTACTGAGAATTCTTCGGTCTAGCATTATATGAGGAAATCCCGTTTCCAGCAAAGGGCTCAAAGACGGCCAATTATCCACTTGCAGACTTTACAAAAAGAGTGTTTCCTAACTGCTCGATTAAAGGAATGTTAAACTCTGTGAGTTGAACACACACATCACAAAGTGTATTCTGAGAATGATTTTGTCTAATTTTAATATGAAGATATAACCTTTTCTGCCATTGTCCTCGAAGAGTTTGATATCTGCACTAGCAAATTCCACAGAAAGAGTGTTTCAAATCTGCTCTCTCTAAAGAAAGTTTCAACTCTGTGAGTTGAATGCACACAACACAAAGAACTTAATGAGAATTCTTCTGTCTAGCGTTATATGAAGAAATCCCGTTTCCAACTGAGTCCTCAAAGAGGTCCAAATATCCACTTGCAGACTTTACAAACAGAGTGTTTCCAGACTGCTCTATGAAAAGAAAGGTTAAACTCTGTGAGTTGAAGGCACACATCACAAACTAGTTTCTGCGAATGACTCTGTAGTTTTAATACGAAGATATTTCCATGTCTAAGATAGGCGTCAAATCTCTCGAAATCTGCACCTGGAAATTCCACAAAAAGAGTGTTTCAAAGCTGCTCTGAATAAAGGAAGGTTCAACTCTGTGAGTTGAATTCACACAACACAAAGGATTTACTGAGAATTCTTCTGTCTAGCAGTAAATGAAAAAATCCCTCTTCCAACGAAGTACACAAAGGGGTCCAAGTATTCACTTGCAGACTTTACAGACAGAGTCTTTCCAAACTGCTCTATAAAAAGAAAGGTGAAACTCTGTAAGCTGAACGCAGACATCACAAAGCAGTTTCTGAGAATGATTCTGTGTAGTTTTTACACGAAGAGATTTCCATTTCAAAGATTGGCCTCAAATCGCTTGAAATCTCCACTTGCAAATTCCACAGAAAGAGTTTTTCAAAACTGCTCTGTCTAAAGGAAGGTTCAACTCTGTGACTTGAATACACACAACACAAAGAAGTGACTGATAATTCTTCTGTCTAGCATTATATGAAGAAATCACGTTTCCAACCAAGGCCTCAAAGAGGTCCAAATATGCACTTGCAGACTTTACAAACAGAGTGTTTCCAAACTGCTCTATGAAAAGAAAGGTTAAACTCCGTGTGTTGAACGCACACATCAGAAAGCAGTTCCTGAGAATGATTCTGTGTAGTTTTTACACGAAGATATTTCCATTTCAAAGATTGGCCTCAAATTGCTTGAAATCTCCACTTGCAAATTCCACAGAAAGAGTTTTTCAAAACTGCTCGGTCTAAAGGAAGTTTCAACTCTGTGACTTGAATACCACAACACAAAGAAGTGACTGAGAATTTTTCTGTCTAGCATTATATGAAGAAATCCCGTTTCCAACTAAGGCCTCAAAGAAGTCCAAATAAGCACCTGCAGACTTTACAAACAGGGTGTTTCCAAACTGCTCTATGAAAAGAAAGGGTAATCTGTGTGAGTTGAACGCACACATCACAAAGTAGTTGTTGAGAACGATTTCTGTGTAGTTTTTATACGAAGATATTTCCTTTTCTGCCATAGGCCTAGAAGCGCTTGGAATCTGCACTTGCAAATACCAAAAAAAGAGTGTTTCAAATCTGCTCTCTCTAAAGGAAGGTTGAAATCTGTGAGTTGAATACAAACAACACAAAGAAGTTACTGAGAATTCTTCTGTCTAGAATTATATGAGGAAATCCCGTTTCCAACGAAGGGCTCAAAGAGGGCCAATTATCCACTTGGAGACTTTACAAAGAGAGTGTTTCCAAACTGCTCGATTAAAGAAAGGTTAAACTCTGTAAGTGGAACACACACATCACAAAGTGTATTCTGAGAATGATTTTGTCTAGTTTTAATACGAAGATATATCCTTTTCTACCATTGTCCTCGAAGCGTTTGAAATCTGCACTAGCAAACTCCACAGAAAGGGTGTTTCAAATCTGCTCTCTCTAAAGAAAGTTTCAACTCTGTGAGTTGAATGCACACAACACAAAGAAGTAAATGAGAATTCTTCTGTCCAGCGTTATATGAAGAAATCCCGTTTCCAACGAAGGCCTCAAAGAAGTCCAAATAAGCACTTGCAGACTTTACAGACAGAGTCTTTCCAAAGTGCTCTATGAAAAGAAAGGTTAAACTCTGTGAGTTGAACGCTCACATCACAAAGTAGTTGTTGAGAATGATTCTGTGTAGTTTTTATACGAAGATATTTCCTTTTCTGCCATAGGCCTAGGAGCGCTTGAAATCTATACTTGCAAATACCAAAAAAAGAGTTTTTCAAATCTGCTCTCTCCAAAGGAAGGTTGAAATCTGTGAGTTGAATACAAACAACACGAAGAATTTACTGAGAATTCTTCCGTCTAGCATTCTATGAGGAAATCCCGTTTCCAGCGAAGGGCTCAAAGACGGCCAATTATCCACTTGCAGACTTTACAAAAAGAGTGTTTCCTAACTGCTCGATTAAAGGAATGTTAAACTCTGTGAGTTGAACACACACATCACAAAGTGTATTCTGAGAATGATTTTGTCTAATTTTAATATGAAGATATAACCTTTTCTGCCATTGTCCTCGAAGCTTTTGATATCTGCACTAGCAAATTCCACAGAAAGAGTGTTTCAAATCTGCTCTCTCTAAAGAAAGTTTCAACTCTGTGAGTTGAATGCACACAACACAAAGAAGTTTATGAGAATTCTTCTGTCTAGCGTTATATGAAGAAATCCCGTTTCCAACTGAGTCCTCAAAGAGGTCCAAATATCCACTTGCAGACTTTAAAAACAGAGTGTTTCCAGAGTGCTCTATGAAAAGAAAGGTTAAACTCTGTGAGTTGAAGGCACACATCACAAACTAGTTTCTGCGAATGACTCTGTAGTTTTAATACGAAGATATTTCCATGTCTAAGATAGGCGTCAAATCTCTTGAAATCTCCACGTGGAAATTCCACAAAAAGAGTGTTTCAAAACTGCTCTGAATAAAGGAAGGTTCAACTCTGTGAGTTGAATTCACACAACACAAAGGATTTACTGAGAATTCTTCTGTCTAGCAGTAAGTGAAAAAATCAAGCTTCCAACGAAGGCCTCGAAGGAATCCAAGTATTGACTTGCAGACTTTACAGACAGAGTCTTTCCAAACTGCTGTATGAAAAGAAAGGTGAAACTCTGTGAGTTGAACGCACACATAACAAAGCAGTTTCTGAGAATGATTCTGTGTAGTTTTTACACGAAGATATTTCCATTTCAAAGATTGGCGTCAAATTGCTTGAAATCTCCACTTGCAAATTCCACAGAAAGAGTTTTTCAAAACTACTCGGTCTAAAGGAAGTTTCCACTCTGTGACTTGAATACCACAACACAAAGAAGTGACTGAGAATTCTTCTGTCTAGCAGTATATGAAGAAATCCCGTTTCCAATTAAGGCCTCAAAGAAGTCCAAATAAGCACCTGCAGACTTTACAAACAGAGTGTTTCCAAACTGCTCTATGAAAAGAAAGGTTAAACTCTGTGAGATGAACGCAAACATCACAAAGTAGTTTTCGAGAATGATTCTGTGTAGTTTTTATACGAAGATATTTCCTTTTCTGCCATAGGCCTAGAAGCGCTTTTAATCTGCACTTGCAAATACCAACAAAAGAGTGTTTCAAATCTGCTCTCTCTAAAGGAAGGTTGAAATCTGTGAGTTGAATACAAACAACACAAAGAAGTTACTGAGAATTCTTCTGTCTAGAATTATATGAGGAAATCCCGTTTCCAACGAAGGGCTCAAAGAGGGCCAATTATCCACTTGGAGACTTTACAAAGAGAGTGTTTCCAAACTGCTCGATTAAAGAAAGGTTAAACTCTGTAAGTGGAACACACACATCACAAAGTGTATTCTGAGAATGATTTTGTCTAGTTTTAATACGAAGATATATCCTTTTCTACCATTGTCCTCGAAGCGTTTGAAATCTGCACTAGCAAACTCCACAGAAAGGGTGTTTCAAATCTGCTCTCTCTAAAGAAAGTTTCAACTCTGTGAGTTGAATGCACACAACACAAAGAAGTAAATGAGAATTCTTCTGTCCAGCGTTATATGAAGAAATCCCGTTTCCAACGAAGGCCTCAAAGAAGTCCAAATAAGCACTTGCAGACTTTACAGACAGAGTCTTTCCAAAGTGCTCTATGAAAAGAAAGGTTAAACTCTGTGAGTTGAACGCTCACATCACAAAGTAGTTGTTGAGAATGATTCTGTGTAGTTTTTATACGAAGATATTTCCTTTTCTGCCATAGGCCTAGGAGCGCTTGAAATCTGTACTTGCAAATACCAAAAAAAGAGTTTTTCAAATCTGCTCTCTCCAAAGGAAGGTTCAAATCTCTGAGTTGAATACAAACAACACGAAGAAGTTACTGAGAATTCTTCCGTCTAGCATTGTATGAGGAAATCCCGTTTCCAGCGAAGGGCTCAAAGACGGCCAATTATCCACTTGCAGACTTTACAAAAAGAGTGTTTCCTAACTGCTCGATTAAAGGAATGTTAAACTCTGTGAGTTGAACACACACATCACAAAGTGTATTCTAAGAATGATTTTGTCTAATTTTAATATGAAGATATAACCTTTTCTGCCATTGTCCTCGAAGCGTTTGATATCTGCACTAGCAAATTCCACAGAAAGAGTGTTTCAAATCTGCTCTCTCTAAAGAAAGTTTCAACTCTGTGAGTTGAATGCACACAACACAAAGAAGTTAATGAGAATTCTTCTGTCTAGCGTTATATGAAGAAATCCCGTTTCCAACTGAGTCCTCAAAGAGGTCCAAATATCCACTTGCAGACTTTACAAACAGAGTGTTTCCAGACTGCTCTATGAAAAGAAAGGTTAAACTCTGTGAGTTGAAGGCACACATCACAAACTAGTTTCTGCGAATGACTCTGTAGTTTTAATACGAAGATATTTCCATGTCTAAGATAGGCGTCAAATCTCTTGAAATCTCCACCTGGAAATTCCACAAAAAGAGTGTTTCAAAACTGCTCTGAATAAAGGAAGGTTCAACTCTGTGAGTTGAATTCACACAACACAAAGGATTTACTGAGAATTCTTCTGTCTAGCAGTAAATGAAAAAATCCCTCTTCCAACGAAGTACACAAAGGGGTCCAAGTATTCACTTGCAGACTTTACAAACAGAGTCTTTCCAAACTGCTCTATAAAAAGAAAGGTGAAACTCTGTAAGCTGAACGCAGACATCACAAAGCAGTTTCTGAGAATGATTCTGTGTAGTTTTTACACGAAGAGATTTCCATTTCAAAGATTGGCCTCAAATCGCTTGAAATCTCCACTTGCAAATTCCACAGAAAGAGTTTTTCAAAACTGCTCTGTCTAAAGGAAGGTTTAACTCTGTGACTTGAATACACACAACACAAAGAAGTGACTGATAATTCTTCTGTCTAGCATTATATGAAGAAATCACGTTTCCAACGAAGGCCTCAAAGAGGTCCAAATAAGCACTTGCAGACTTTACAAGCAGAGTGTTTCCAAACTGCTCTATGAAAAGAAAGGTTAAACTCCGTGTGTTGAACGCACACATCAGAAAGTAGTTCCTGAGAATGATTCTGTGTAGTTTTTACACGAAGATATTTCCATTTCAAAGATTGGCCTCAAATCGCTTGAAATCTCCACTTGCAAATTCCACAGAAAGAGATTTTCAAAACTGCTCTGTCTAAAGGAAGTTTCAACTCTGTGACTTGAATACCACAACACAAAGAAGTGACTGAGAATTCTTCTGTCAAGCATTATATGAAGAAATCCCGTTTCCAACGAAGGCCTCAAAGAAGTCCAAATATGCACTTGCAGACATTACAAACAGAGTGTTTCCAAACTGCTCTATGAAAAGAAAGGTTAAACTCTGTGAGTTGAACGCACACATCACAAAGTAGTTGTTGAGAATGATTCTGTGTAGTTTTTATACGAAGATATTTCCTTTTCTGCCATAGGCCTAGAAGCGCTTGGAATCTGCACTTGCAAATACCAAAAAAAGAGTGTTTCAAATCTGCTCTCTCTAAAGGAAGGTTGAAATCTGTGAGTTGAATACAAACAACACAAAGAAGTTACTGAGAATTCTTCTGTCTAGAATTATATGAGGAAATCCCGTTTCCAACGAAGGGCTCAAAGAGGGCCAATTATCCACTTGGAGACTTTACAAAGAGAGTGTTTCCAAACTGCTCGATTAAAGAAAGGTTAAACTCTGTAAGTGGAACACACACATCACAAAGTGTATTCTGAGAATGATTTTGTCTAGTTTTAATACGAAGATATATCCTTTTCTACCATTGTCCTCGAAGCGTTTGAAATCTGCAATAGCAAACTCCACAGAAAGGGTGTTTCAAATCTGCTCTCTCTAAAGAAAGTTTCAACTCTGTGAGTTGAATGCACACAACACAAAGAAGTAAATGAGAATTCTTCTGTCCAGCGTTATATGAAGAAATCCCGTTTCCAACGAAGGCCTCAAAGAAGTCCAAATAAGCACTTGCAGACTTTACAGACAGAGTCTTTCCAAAGTGCTCTATGAAAAGAAAGGTTAAACTCTGTGAGTTGAACGCTCACATCACAAAGTAGTTGTTGAGAATGATTCTGTGTAGTTTTTATACGAAGATATTTCCTTTTCTGCCATAGGCCTAGGAGCGCTTGCAATCTGTACTTGCAAATACCAAAAAAAGAGTTTTTCAAATCTGCTCTCTCCAAAGGAAGGTTCAAATCTCTGAGTTGAATACAAACAACACGAAGAAGTTACTGAGAATTCTTCCGTCTAGCATTGTATGAGGAAATCCCGTTTCCAGCGAAGGGCTCAAAGACGGCCAATTATCCACTTGCAGACTTTACAAAAAGAGTGTTTCCTAACTGCTCGATTAAAGGAATGTTAAACTCTGTGAGTTGAACACACACATCACAAAGTGTATTCTGAGAATGATTTTGTCTAATTTTAATATGAAGATATAACCTTTTCTGCCATTGTCCTCGAAGCGTTTGATATCTGCACTAGCAAATTCCACAGAAAGAGTGTTTCGAATCTGCTCTCTCTAAAGAAAGTTTCAACTCTGTGAGTTGAATGCACACAACACAAAGAAGTTAATGAGAATTCTTCTGTCTAGCGTTATATGAAGAAATCCCGTTTCCAACTGAGTCCTCAAAGAGGTCCAAATATCCACTTGCAGACTTTACAAACAGAGTGTTTCCAGACTGCTCTATGAAAAGAAAGGTTAAACTCTGTGAGTTGAAGGCACACATCACAAACTAGTTTCTGCGAATGACTCTGTAGTTTTAATACGAAGATATTTCCATGTCTAAGATAGGCGTCAAATCTCTTGAAATCTCCACCTGGAAATTCCACAAAAAGAGTGTTTCAAAGCTGCTCTGAATAAAGGAAGGTTCAACTCTGTGAGTTGAATTCACACAACACAAAGGATTTACTGAGAATTCTTCTGTCTAGCAGTAAATGAAAAAATCCCTCTTCCAACGAAGTACACAAAGGGGTCCAAGTATTCACTTGCAGACTTTACAGACATAGTCTTTCCAAACTGCTCTATAAAAAGAAAGGTGAAACTCTGTAAGCTGAACGCAGACATCACAAAGCAGTTTCTGAGAATGATTCTGTGTAGTTTTTACACGAAGAGATTTCCATTTCAAAGATTGGCCTCAAATCGCTTGAAATCTCCACTTGCAAATTCCACAGAAAGAGTTTTTCAAAACTGCTCTGTCTAAAGGAAGGTTCAACTCTGTGACTTGAATACACACAACACAAAGAAGTGACTGATAATTCTTCTGTCTAGCATTATATGAAGAAATCCCGTTTCCAATGAAGGCCTCAAAGAAGTCCAAATATGCACTTGCAGACTTTACAACCAGAGTGTTTCCAAACTGCTCTATGAAAAGAAAGGTTAAACCCTGTGAGTTGAACGCGCACATCACAAAGTAGTTTCTGAGAATGATTCTGTGTAGTTTTTACACGAAGATATTTCCATTTCAAAGATTAGCCTCAAATCGCTTGAAGTCTCCCCTTGCAAATTCCACAGAAAGAGATTTTCAAAACTGCTCGGTCTAATGGAAGTTTGAAAACTGTGACTTGAATACCACAACACAAACAAGTGACTGAGAATTCCTCTGTCAAGCATTGTATGAAGAAATCCCGTTTCCAACGAAGGCCTCAAAGAAGTCCAAATATGCACTTGCAGACATTACAAACAGAGTGTTTCCAAACTGCTCTATGAAAAGAAAGGTTAAACTCTGTGAGTTGAACACACACATCACAAAGTAGTTGTTGAGAATGATTCTGTGTAGTTTTTATACGAAGATATTTCCTTTTCTGCCATAGGCCTAGAAGCGCTTGGAATCTGCACTTGCAAATACCAAAAAAAGAGTGTTTCAAATCTGCTCTCTCTAAAGGAAGGTTGAAATCTGTGAGTTGAATACAAACAACACAAAGAAGTTACTGAGAATTCTTCTGTCTAGAATTATATGAGGAAATCCCGTTTCCAACGAAGGGCTCAAAGAGGGCCAATTATCCACTTGGAGACTTTACAAAGAGAGTGTTTCCAAACTGCTCGATTAAAGAAAGGTTAAACTCTGTAAGTGGAACACACACATCACAAAGTGTATTCTGAGAATGATTTTGTCTAGTTTTAATACGAAGATACATCCTTTTCTACCATTGTCCTCGAAGCGTTTGAAATCTGCACTAGCAAACTCCACAGAAAGGGTGTTTCAAATCTGCTCTCTCTAAAGAAAGTTTCAACTCTGTGAGTTGAATGCACACAACACAAAGAAGTAAATGAGAATTCTTCTGTCCAGCGTTATATGAAGAAATCCCGTTTCCAACGAAGGCCTCAAAGAAGTCCAAATAAGCACTTGCAGACTTTACAGACAGAGTCTTTCCAAAGTGCTCTATGAAAAGAAAGGTTAAACTCTGTGAGTTGAACGCTCACATCACAAAGTAGTTGTTGAGAATGATTCTGTGTAGTTTTTATACGAAGATATTTCCTTTTCTGCCATAGGCCTAGGAGCGCTTGAAATCTGTACTTGCAAATACCAAAAAAAGAGTTTTTCAAATCTGCTCTCTCCAAAGGAAGGTTCAAATCTCTGAGTTGAATACAAACAACACGAAGAAGTTACTGAGAATTCTTCCGTCTAGCATTGTATGAGGAAATCCCGTTTCCAGCGAAGGGCTCAAAGACGGCCAATTATCCACTTGCAGACTTTACAAAAAGAGTGTTTCCTAACTGCTCGATTAAAGGAATGTTAAACTCTGTGAGTTGAACACACACATCACAAAGTGTATTCTGAGAATGATTTTGTCTAATTTTAATATGAAGATATAACCTTTTCTGCCATTGTCCTCGAAGCGTTTGATATCTGCACTAGCAAATTCCACAGAAAGAGTGTTTCAAATCTGCTCTCTCTAAAGAAAGTTTCAACTCTGTGAGTTGAATGCACACAACACAAAGAAGTTAATGAGAATTCTTCTGTCTAGCGTTATATGAAGAAATCCCGTTTCCAACTGAGTCCTCAAAGAGGTCCAAATATCCACTTGCAGACTTTACAAACAGAGTGTTTCCAGACTGCTCTATGAAAAGAAAGGTTAAACTCTGTGAGTTGAAGGCACACATCACAAACTAGTTTCTGCGAATGACTCTGTAGTTTTAATACGAAGATATTTCCATGTCTAAGATAGGCGTCAAATCTCTCGAAATCTGCACCTGGAAATTCCACAAAAAGAGTGTTTCAAAGCTGCTCTGAATAAAGGAAGGTTCAACTCTGTGAGTTGAATTCACACAACACAAAGGATTTACTGAGAATTCTTCTGTCTAGCAGTAAATGAAAAAATCCCTCTTCCAACGAAGTACACAAAGGGGTCCAAGTATTCACTTGCAGACTTTACAGACATAGTCTTTCCAAACTGCTCTATAAAAAGAAAGGTGAAACTCTGTAAGCTGAACGCAGACATCACAAAGCAGTTTCTGAGAATGATTCTGTGTAGTTTTTACACGAAGAGATTTCCATTTCAAAGATTGGCCTCAAATCGCTTGAAATCTCCACTTGCAAATTCCACAGAAAGAGTTTTTCAAAACTGCTCTGTCTAAAGGAAGGTTCAACTCTGTGACTTGAATACACACAACACAAAGAAGTGACTGATAATTCTTCTATCTAGCATTATATGAAGAAATCACGTTTCCAACGAAGGCCTCAAAGAGGTTCAAATATGCACTTGCAGACTTTACAAACAGAGTGTTTCCAAACTGCTCTATGAAAAGAAAGGTTAAACTCCGTGTGTTGAACGCACACATCAGAAAGCAGTTCCTGAGAATGATTCTGTGTAGTTTTTACACGAAGATATTTCCATTTCAAAGATTGGCCTCAAATCGCTTGTAATCTACACTTGCAAATTCCACAGAAAGAGATTTTCAAAACTGCTCTGTCTAAAGGAAGTTTCAACTCTGTGACTTGAATACCACAACACAAAGAAATGACTGAGAATTCTTCTGTCAAGCATTGTATGAAGAAATCCCGTTTCCAACGAAGGCCTCAAAGAAGTCCAAATATGCACTTGCAGACATTACAAACAGAGTGTTTCCAAACTGCTCTATGAAAAGAAAGGTTAAACTCTGTGAGTTGAACACACACATCACAAAGTAGTTGTTGAGAATGATTCTGTGTAGTTTTTATACGAAGATATTTCCTTTTCTGCCATAGGCCTAGAAGCGCTTGGAATCTGCACTTGCAAATACCAAAAAAAGAGTGTTTCAAATCTGCTCTCTCTAAAGGAAGGTTGAAATCTGTGAGTTGAATACAAACAACACAAAGAAGTTACTGAGAATTCTTCTGTCTAGAATTATATGAGGAAATCCCGTTTCCAACGAAGGGCTCAAAGAGGGCCAATTATCCACTTGGAGACTTTACAAAGAGAGTGTTTCCAAACTGCTCGATTAAAGAAAGGTTAAACTCTGTAAGTGGAACACACACATCACAAAGTGTATTCTGAGAATGATTTTGTCTAGTTTTAATACGAAGATATATCCTTTTCTACCATTGTCCTCGAAGCGTTTGAAATCTGCAATAGCAAACTCCACAGAAAGGGTGTTTCAAATCTGCTCTCTCTAAAGAAAGTTTCAACTCTGTGAGTTGAATGCACACAACACAAAGAAGTAAATGAGAATTCTTCTGTCCAGCGTTATATGAAGAAATCCCGTTTCCAACGAAGGCCTCAAAGAAGTCCAAATAAGCACTTGCAGACTTTACAGACAGAGTCTTTCCAAAGTGCTCTATGAAAAGAAAGGTTAAACTCTGTGAGTTGAACGCTCACATCACAAAGTAGTTGTTGAGAATGATTCTGTGTAGTTTTTATACGAAGATATTTCCTTTTCTGCCATAGGCCTAGGAGCGCTTGAAATCTGTACTTGCAAATACCAAAAAAAGAGTTTTTCAAATCTGCTCTCTCGAAAGGAAGGTTCAAATCTCTGAGTTGAATACAAACAACACGAAGAAGTTACTGAGAATTCTTCCGTCTAGCATTGTATGAGGAAATCCCGTTTCCAGCGAAGGGCTCAAAGACGGCCAATTATCCACTTGCAGACTTTACAAAAAGAGTGTTTCCTAACTGCTCGATTAAAGGAATGTTAAACTCTGTGAGTTGAACACACACATCACAAAGTGTATTCTGAGAATGATTTTGTCTAATTTTAATATGAAGATATAACCTTTTCTGCCATTGTCCTCGAAGCGTTTGATATCTGCACTAGCAAATTCCACAGAAAGAGTGTTTCAAATCTGCTCTCTCTAAAGAAAGTTTCAACTCTGTGAGTTGAATGCACACAACACAAAGAAGTTAATGAGAATTCTTCTGTCTAGCGTTATATGAAGAAATCCCGTTTCCAACTGAGTCCTCAAAGAGGTCCAAATATCCACTTGCAGACTTTACAAACAGAGTGTTTCCAGACTGCTCTATGAAAAGAAAGGTTAAACTCTGTGAGTTGAAGGCACACATCACAAACTAGTTTCTGCGAATGACTCTGTAGTTTTAATACGAAGATATTTCCATGTCTAAGATAGGCGTCAAATCTCTCGAAATCTGCACCTGGAAATTCCACAAAAAGAGTGTTTCAAAGCTGCTCTGAATAAAGGAAGGTTCAACTCTGTGAGTTGAATTCACACAACACAAAGGATTTACTGAGAATTCTTCTGTCTAGCAGTAAATGAAAAAATCCCTCTTCCAACGAAATACACAAAGGGGTCCAAGTATTCACTTGCAGACTTTACAGACAGAGTCTTTCCAAACTGCTCTATAAAAAGAAAGGTGAAACTCTGTAAGCTGAACGCAGACATCACAAAGCAATTTCTGAGAATGATTCTGTGTAGTTTTCACAGAAGATATTTCCATCTCAAAGATTGACCTCAAATCGCTTGAAATCTCCACTTGCAAATTCCACAGAAAGAGTTTTTCAAAACTGCTCTGTCTAAAGGAAGGTTCAACTCTGTGACTTGAATACACACAACACAAAGAAGTGACTGATAATTCTTCTGCCTAGCATTATATGAAGAAATCACGTTTCCAACGAAGGCCTCAAAGAGGTCCAAATATGCACTTGCAGACTTTACAAACAGAGTGTTTCCAAACTGCTCTATGAAAAGAAAGGTTAAACTCCGTGTGTTGAACGCACACATCAGAAAGTAGTTCCTGAGAATGATTCTGTGTAGTTTTTACACGAAGATATTTCCATTTCAAAGATTGGCCCCAAATCGCTTGAATTCTACACTTGCAAATTCCACAGAAAGAGATTTTCAAAACTGCTCTGTCTAAAGGAAGTTTCAACTCTGTGACTTGAATACCACAACACAAAGAAGTGACTGAGAATTCTTCTGTCTAGCATTATATGAAGAAACCCCGTTTCCAACGAAGGCCTCAAAGAAGTCCAAATAAGCAGCTGCAGACTTTACAAACAGAGTGTTTCCAAAGTGCTCTATGAAAAGAAAGGTTAAACTCTGTGAGTTGAACGCACACATCACAAAGTAGTTGTTGAGAATGATTCTGTGTAGTTTTTATACGAAGATATTTCCTTTTCTGCCATAGGCCTAGAAGCGCTTGGAATCTGCACTTGCAAATACCAAAAAAAGAGTGTTTCAAATCTGCTCTCTCTAAAGGAAGGTTGAAATACTGTGAGTTGAATACAAACAACACAAAGAAGTTACTGAGAATTCTTCTGTCTAGAATTATATGAGGAAATCCCGTTTCCAACGAAGGGCTCAAAGAGGGCCAATTATCCATTGGAGACTTTACAAAGAGAGTGTTTCCAAACTGCTCGATTAAAGAAAGGTTAAACTCTGTAAGTGGAACACACACATCACAAAGTGTATTCTGAGAATGATTTTCTCTCGTTCTAATACGAAGATATATACTTTTCTACCATTGTCCTCGAAGCGTTTGAAATCTGCACTAGCGCATTCCACGGAAAGAATGTTTCACATCTGCTCTCTGTAAAGAAAGGTTCAACCCTGTGAGTTGAATACACACAACAGAAAGAAGTTACTGAGAATTCTTCTCTCCAGCGTTATATGAAGAAATCCCGTTTCCAACGAAGGCCTCAAAGAAGTCCAAATAAGCACTTGCAGACTTTACAGACAGAGTCTTTCCAAAGTGCTCTATGAAAAGAAAGGTTAAACTCTGTGAGTTGAACGCTCACATCACAAACTAGTTGTTGAGAATGATTCTGTGTAGTTTTTATACGAAGATATTTCCTTTTCTGCCATAGGCCTAGGAGCGCTTGAAATCTATACTTGCAAATACCAAAAAAAGAGTTTTTCAAATCTGCTCTCTCCAAAGGAAGGTTCAAATCTCTGAGTTGAATACAAACAACACGAAGAATTTACTGAGAATTCTTCGGTCTAGCATTATATGAGGAAATCCCGTTTCCAGCGAAGGGCTCAAAGACGGCCAATTATCCACTTGCAGACTTTACAAAAAGAGTGTTTCCTAACTGCTCGATTAAAGGAATGTTAAACTCTGTGAGTTGAACACACACATCACAAAGTGTATTCTGAGAATGATTTTGTCTAATTTTAATATGAAGATATAACCTTTTCTGCCATTGTCCTCGAAGCGTTTGATATCTGCACTAGCAAATTCCACAGAAAGAGTGTTTCAAATCTGCTCTCTCTAAAGAAAGTTTCAACTCTGTGAGTTGAATGCACACAACACAAAGAAGTTAATGAGAATTCTTCTGTCTAGCGTTATATGAAGAAATCCCGTTTCCAACTGAGTCCTCAAAGAGGTCCAAATATCCACTTGCAGACTTTACAAACAGAGTGTTTCCAGACTGCTCTATGAAAAGAAAGGTTAAACTCTGTGAGTTGAAGGCACACATCACAAACTAGTTTCTGCGAATGACTCTGTAGTTTTAATACGAAGATATTTCCATGTCTAAGTTAGGCGTCAAATCTCTTGAAATCTCCACCTGGAAATTCCACAAAAAGAGTGTTTCAAAACTGCTCTGAATAAAGGAAGGTTCAACTCTGTGAGTTGAATTCACACAACACAAAGGATTTACTGAGAATTCTTCTGTCTAGCAGTAAATGAAAAAATCCCTCTTCCAACAAAGTACACAAAGGGGTCCAAGTATTCACTTGCAGACTTTACAGACAGAGTCTTTCCAAACTGCTCTATAAAAAGAAAGGTGAAACTCTGCAAGCTGAACGCAGACATCACAAAGCAGTTTCTGAGAATGATTCTGTGTAGTTTTTACACGAAGAGATTTCCATTTCAAAGATTGGCCTCAAATCGCTTGAAATCTCCACTTGCAAATTCCACAGAAAGAGTTTTTCAAAACTGCTCTGTCTAAAGGAAGGTTCAACTCTGTGACTTGAATACACACAACACAAAGAAGTGACTGATAATTCTTCTGTCAAGCATTATATGAAGAAATCCCGTTTCCAACGAAGGCCTCAAAGAAGTCCAAATATGCACTTGCAGACATTACAAACAGAGTGTTTCCAAACTGCTCTATGAAAAGAAAGGTTAAACTCTGTGAGTTGAACACACACATCACAAAGTAGTTGTTGAGAATGATTCTGTGTAGTTTTCATACGAAGATATTCCCTTTTCTGCCATAGACCTAGAAGCGCTTGAAATCTGCACTTGCAAATTCCACAAAAAGAGTGTTTCAAATCTGCTCTCTCTAAAGGAAGGTTCAAATCTGTGAGTTGAATACACACAACACAAAGAAGTTACTGAGAATTCTTCTGTCTAGCGTTATATGAAGAAATCCCGTTTCCAAGGAAGGTCTCAAAGAGGTCCAAATATCCACTTGCCGACTTTACAAATAGAGTGTTTCCAAACTGCTGTATGAAAAGAATGGTTAAACTCTGTGAGTTGAAGGCACACATCACAAACCAGTTTCTGCGAATGACTTTGTCTAGTTTTAATACGAAGATATATCCTTTTCTACCATTGTCCTCGAAGCGTTTGAAATCTGCACTAGCAAACTCCACAGAAAGGGTGTTTCAAATCTGCTCTCTCTAAAGAAAGTTTCAACTCTGTGAGTTGAATGCACACAACACAAAGAAGTAAATGAGAATTCTTCTGTCCAGCGTTATATGAAGAAATCCCGTTTCCAACGAAGGCCTCAAAGAAGTCCAAATAAGCACTTGCAGACTTTACAGACAGAGTCTTTCCAAAGTGCTCTATGAAAAGAAAGGTTAAACTCTGTGAGTTGAACGCTCACATCACAAAGTAGTTGTTGAGAATGATTCTGTGTAGTTTTTATACGAAGATATTTCCTTTTCTGCCATAGGCCTAGGAGCGCTTGAAATCTGTACTTGCAAATACCAAAAAAAGAGTTTTTCAAATCTGCTCTCTCCAAAGGAAGGTTCAAATCTCTGAGTTGAATACAAACAACACGAAGAAGTTACTGAGAATTCTTCCGTCTAGCATTGTATGAGGAAATCCCGTTTCCAGCGAAGGGCTCAAAGACGGCCAATTATCCACTTGCAGACTTTACAAAAAGAGTGTTTCCTAACTGCTCGATTAAAGGAATGTTAAACTCTGTGAGTTGAACACACACATCACAAAGTGTATTCTGAGAATGATTTTGTCTAATTTTAATATGAAGATATAACCTTTTCTGCCATTGTCCTCGAAGCGTTTGATATCTGCACTAGCAAATTCCACAGAAAGAGTGTTTCAAATCTGCTCTCTCTAAAGAAAGTTTCAACTCTGTGAGTTGAATGCACACAACACAAAGAAGTTAATGAGAATTCTTCTGTCTAGCGTTATATGAAGAAATCCCGTTTCCAACTGAGTCCTCAAAGAGGTCCAAATATCCACTTGCAGACTTTACAAACAGAGTGTTTCCAGACTGCTCTATGAAAAGAAAGGTTAAACTCTGTGAGTTGAAGGCACACATCACAAACTAGTTTCTGCGAATGACTCTGTAGTTTTAATACGAAGATATTTCCATGTCTAAGATAGGCGTCAAATCTCTTGAAATCTCCACGTGGAAATTCCACAAAAAGAGTGTTTCAAAACTGCTCTGAATAAAGGAAGGTTCAACTCTGTGAGTTGAATTCACACAACACAAAGGATTTACTGAGAATTCTTCTGTCTAGCAGTAAATGAAAAAATCCCTCTTCCAACAAAGTACACAAAGGGGTCCAAGTATTCACTTGCAGACTTTACAGACAGAGTCTTTCCAAACTGCTCTATAAAAAGAAAGGTGAAACTCTGTAAGCTGAACGCAGACATCACAAAGCAGTTTCTGAGAATGATTCTGTGTAGTTTTTACACGAAGAGATTTCCATTTCAAAGATTGGCCTCAAATCGCTTGAAATCTCCACTTGCAAATTCCACAGAAAGAGTTTTTCAAAACTGCTCTGTCTAAAGGAAGGTTTAACTCTGTGACTTGAATACACACAACACAAAGAAGTGACTGATAATTCTTCTGTCTAGCATTATATGAAGAAATCACGTTTCCAACGAAGGCCTCAAAGAGGTCCAAATAAGCACTTGCAGACTTTACAAACAGAGTGTTTCCAAACTGCTCTATGAAAAGAAAGGTTAAACTCCGTGTGTTGAACGCACACATCAGAAAGTAGTTCCTGAGAATGATTCTGTGTAGTTTTTACACGAAGATATTTCCATTTCAAGGATTGGCCTCAAATCGCTTGAAATCTCCACTTGCAAATTCCACAGAAAGAGATTTTCAAAACTGCTCTGTCTAAAGGAAGTTTCAACTCTGTGACTTGAATACCACAACACAAAGAAGTGACTGAGAATTCTTCTGTCAAGCATTATATGAAGAAATCCCGTTTCCAACGAAGGCCTCAAAGAAGTCCAAATATGCACTTGCAGACATTACAAACAGAGTGTTTCCAAACTGCTCTATGAAAAGAAAGGTTAAACTCTGTGAGTTGAACACACACATCACAAAGTAGTTGTTGAGAATGATTCTGTGTAGTTTTTATACGACGATATTCCCTTTTCTGCCATAGGCCTAGAAGCGCTTGAAATGTGCACTTGCAAATTCCAAAAAAAGAGTGTTTGAAATCTGCTCTCTCTAAAGGAAGGTTCAAATCTGTGAGTTGAATACAACCAACACAAAGAAATTACTGAGAATTCTTCTGTCTAGAATTATATGAGGAAATCCCGTTTCCAACGAAGGGCTCAAAGAGGGCCAATTATCCACTTGGAGACTTTACAAAGAGAGTGTTTCCAAACTGCTCGATTAAAGAAAGGTTAAACTCTGTAAGTGGAACACACACATCACAAAGTGTATTCTGAGAATGATTTTGTCTAGTTTTAATACGAAGATATATCCTTTTCTACCATTGTCCTCGAAGCGTTTGAAATCTGCACTAGCAAACTCCACAGAAAGGGTGTTTCAAATCTGCTCTCTCTAAAGAAAGTTTCAACTCTGTGAGTTGAATGCACACAACACAAAGAAGTAAATGAGAATTCTTCTGTCCAGCGTTATATGAAGAAATCCCGTTTCCAACGAAGGCCTCAAAGAAGTCCAAATAAGCACTTGCAGACTTTACAGACAGAGTCTTTCCAAAGTGCTCTATGAAAAGAAAGGTTAAACTCTGTGAGTTGAACGCTCACATCACAAAGTAGTTGTTGAGAATGATTCTGTGTAGTTTTTATACGAAGATATTTCCTTTTCTGCCATAGGCCTAGGAGCGCTTGAAATCTGTACTTGCAAATACCAAAAAAAGAGTTTTTCAAATCTGCTCTCTCCAAAGGAAGGTTCAAATCTCTGAGTTGAATACAAACAACACGAAGAAGTTACTGAGAATTCTTCCGTCTAGCATTGTATGAGGAAATCCCGTTTCCAGCGAAGGGCTCAAAGACGGCCAATTATCCACTTGCAGACTTTACAAAAAGAGTGTTTCCTAACTGCTCGATTAAAGGAATGTTAAACTCTGTGAGTTGAACACACACATCACAAAGTGTATTCTGAGAATGATTTTGTCTAATTTTAATATGAAGATATAACCTTTTCTGCCATTGTCCTCGAAGCGTTTGATATCTGCACTAGCAAATTCCACAGAAAGAGTGTTTCAAATCTGCTCTCTCTAAAGAAAGTTTCAACTCTGTGAGTTGAATGCACACAACACAAAGAAGTTAATGAGAATTCTTCTGTCTAGAGTTATATGAAGAAATCCCGTTTCCAACTGAGTCCTCAAAGAGGTCCAAATATCCACTTGCAGACTTTACAAACAGAGTGTTTCCAGACTGCTCTATGAAAAGAAAGGTTAAACTCTGTGAGTTGAAGGCACACATCACAAACTAGTTTCTGCGAATGACTCTGTAGTTTTAATACGAAGATATTTCCATGTCTAAGATAGGCGTCAAATCTCTCGAAATCTGCACCTGGAAATTCCACAAAAAGAGTGTTTCAAAGCTGCTCTGAATAAAGGAAGGTTCAACTCTGTGAGTTGAATTCACACAACACAAAGGATTTACTGAGAATTCTTCTGTCTAGCAGTAAATGAAAAAATCCCTCTTCCAACGAAGTACACAAAGGGGTCCAAGTATTCACTTGCAGACTTTACAGACATAGTCTTTCCAAACTGCTCTATAAAAAGAAAGGTGAAACTCTGTAAGCTGAACGCAGACATCACAAAGCAGTTTCTGAGAATGATTCTGTGTAGTTTTTACACGAAGAGATTTCCATTTCAAAGATTGGCCTCAAATCGCTTGAAATCTCCACTTGCAAATTCCACAGAAAGAGTTTTTCAAAACTGCTCTGTCTAAAGGAAGGTTCAACTCTGTGACTTGAATACACACAACACAAAGAAGTGACTGATAATTCTTCTGTCTAGCATTATATGAAGAAATCACGTTTCCAACGAAGGCCTCAAAGAGGTCCAAATATGCACTTGCAGACTTTACAAACAGAGTGTTTCCAAACTGCTCTATGAAAAGAAAGGTTAAACTCCGTGTGTTGAACGCACACATCAGAAAGCAGTTCCTGAGAATGATTCTGTGTAGTTTTTACACGAAGATATTTCCATTTCAAAGATTGGCCTCAAATCGCTTGAAATCTCCACTTGCAAATTCCACAGAAAGAGATTTTCAAAACTGCTCTGTCTAAAGGAAGTTTCAACTCTGTGACTTGAATACCACAACACAAAGAAATGACTGAGAATTCTTTCTGTCAAGCATTATGTGAAGAAATCCCGTTTCCAACGAAGGCCTCAAAGAAGTCCAAATATGCACTTGCAGACATTACAAACAGAGTGTTTCCAAACTGCTCTATGAAAAGAAAGGTTAAACTCTGTGAGTTGAACACACACATCACAAAGTAGTTGTTGAGAATGATTCTGTGTAGTTTTTATACGAAGATATTTCCTTTTCTGCCATAGGCCTAGAAGAGCTTGAAATCTGCCCTTGCAAATTCCAAAAAAAGAGTGTTTCAAATCTGCTCTCTCTAAAGGAAGGTTCAAATCCGTGAGTTGAATACAAACAACACAAAGAAGTTACTGTGAATTCTTCTGTCTAGAATTATATGAGGAAATCCCGTTTCCAACGAAGGGCTCAAAGAGGGCCAATTATCCACTTGGAGACTTTACAAAGAGAGTGTTTCCAAACTGCTCGATTAAAGAAAGGTTAAACTCTGTAAGTGGAACACACACATCACAAAGTGTATTCTGAGAATGATTTTATCTAGTTTTAATACGAAGATATATCCTTTTCTACCATTGTCCTCGAAGCGTTTGAAATCTGCACTAGCAAACTCCACAGAAAGGGTGTTTCAAATCTGCTCTCTCTAAAGAAAGTTTCAACTCTGTGAGTTGAATGCACACAACACAAAGAAGTAAATGAGAATTCTTCTGTCCAGCGTTATATGAAGAAATCCCGTTTCCAACGAAGGCCTCAAAGAAGTCCAAATAAGCACTTGCAGACTTTACAGACAGAGTCTTTCCAAAGTGCTCTATGAAAAGAAAGGTTAAACTCTGTGAGTTGAACGCTCACATCACAAAGTAGTTGTTGAGAATGATTCTGTGTAGTTTTTATACGAAGATATTTCCTTTTCTGCCATAGGCCTAGGAGCGCTTGAAATCTGTACTTGCAAATACCAAAAAAAGAGTTTTTCAAATCTGCTCTCTCGAAAGGAAGGTTCAAATCTCTGAGTTGAATACAAACAACACGAAGAAGTTACTGAGAATTCTTCCGTCTAGCATTCTATGAGGAAATCCCGTTTCCAGCGAAGGGCTCAAAGACGGCCAATTATCCACTTGCAGACTTTACAAAAAGAGTGTTTCCTAACTGCTCGATTAAAGGAATGTTAAACTCTGTGAGTTGAACACACACATCACAAAGTGTATTCTGAGAATGATTTTGTCTAATTTTAATATGAAGATATAACCTTTTCTGCCATTGTCCTCGAAGCGTTTGATATCTGCACTAGCAAATTCCACAGAAAGAGTGTTTCAAATCTGCTCTCTCTAAAGAAAGTTTCAACTCTGTGAGTTGAATGCACACAACACAAAGAAGTTAATGAGAATTCTTCTGTCTAGCGTTATATGAAGAAATCCCGTTTCCAACGAAGGCCTCAAAGAGGTCCAAATATCCACTTGCAGACTTTACAAATAGAGTGTTTCCCAACTGCTCTATGAAAAGAAAGGTTAAACTCTGTAAGTTGAAGGCACACATCACAAACTAGTTTCTACGAATGACTCTGTAGTTTTAATACGAAGATATTTCCATGTCTAAGATAGGCGTCAAATCTCTTGAAATCTCCACGTGGAAATTCCACAAAAAGAGTGTTTCAAAACTGCTCTGAATAAAGGAAGGTTCAACTCTGTGAGTTGAATTCACACAACACAAAGGATTTACTGAGAATTCTTCTGTCTAGCAGTAAATGAAAAAATCCCTCTTCCAACGAAGTACACAAAGGGGTCCAAGTATTCACTTGCAGACTTTACAGACATAGTCTTTCCAAACTGCTCTATAAAAAGAAAGGTGAAACTCTGTAAGCTGAACGCAGACATCACAAAGCAGTTTCTGAGAATGATTTCTGTGTAGTTTTTACACGAAGAGATTTCCATTTCAAAGATTGGCCTCAAATCGCATGAAATCTCCACTTGCAAATTCCACAGAAAGAGTTTCTCAAAACTGCTCTGTCTAAAGGAAGGTTTAACTCTGTGACTTGAATACACACAACACAAAGAAGTGACTGATAATTCTTCTGTCTAGCATTATATGAAGAAATCACGTTTCCAACGAAGGCCTCAAAGAGGTCCAAATAAGCACTTGCAGACTTTACAAACAGAGTGTTTCCAAACTGCTCTATGAAAAGAAAGGTTAAACTCCGTGTGTTGAACGCACACATCAGAAAGTAGTTCCTGAGAATGATTCTGTGTAGTTTTTACACGAAGATATTTCCATTTCAAAATTGGCCTCAAATCGCTTGAAATCTCCACTTGCAAATTCCACAGAAAGAGATTTTCAAAACTGCTCTGTCTAAAGGAAGTTTCAACTCTGTGACTTGAATACCACAACACAAAGAAGTGACTGAGAATTCTTCTGTCTAGCATTATATGAAGAAATCCCGTTTCCAACGAAGGCCTCAATGAAGTCCAAAAAAGCACTTGCAGGCTTTACAAACAGAGTGTTTCCAAACTGCTCTATGAAAAGAAAGGTTAAACTCTGTGAGTTGAACGCACACATCACAAAGTAGTTGTTGAGAATGATTCTGTGTAGTTTTTATACGAAGATATTTCCTTTTCTGCCATAGGCCTAGAAGTGCTTGAAATCTGCACTTGCAAATTCCAAAAACAGAGTGTTTCAAATCTGCTCTCTCTAAAGGAAGGTTCAAATCTGTGAGTTGAATACAAACAACACAGAGAAGTTACTGAGAATTCTTCTGTCTAGAATTATATGAGGAAATCCCGTTTCCAACGAAGGGCTCAAAGAGGGCCAATTATCCACTTGGAGACTTTACAAAGAGAGTGTTTCCAAACTGCTCGATTAAAGAAAGGTTAAACTCTGTAAGTGGAACACACACATCACAAAGTGTATTCTGAGAATGATTTTATCTAGTTTTAATACGAAGATATATCCTTTTCTACCATTGTCCTCGAAGCGTTTGAAATCTGCACTAGCAAACTCCACAGAAAGGGTATTTCAAATCTGCTCTCTCTAAAGAAAGTTTCAACTCATGAGTTGAATGCACACAACACAAAGAAGTAAATGAGAATTCTTCTGTCCAGCGTTATATGAAGAAATCCCGTTTCCAACGAAGGCCTCAAAGAAGTCCAAATAAGCACTTGCAGACTTTACAGACAGAGTCTTTCCAAAGTGCTCTATGAAAAGAAAGGTTAAACTCTGTGAGTTGAACGCTCACATCACAAAGTAGTTGTTGAGAATGATTCTGTGTAGTTTTTATACGAAGATATTTCCTTTTCTGCCATAGGCCTAGGAGCGCTTGAAATCTGTACTTGCAAATACCAAAAAAAGAGTTTTTCAAATCTGCTCTCTCCAAAGGAAGGTTCAAATCTCTGAGTTGAATACAAACAACACGAAGAAGTTACTGAGAATTCTTCGGTCTAGCATTGTATGAGGAAATCCCGTTTCCAGCGAAGGGCTCAAAGACGGCCAATTATCCACTTGCAGACTTTACAAAAAGAGTGTTTCCTAACTGCTCGATTAAAGGAATGTTAAACTCTGTGAGTTGAACACACACATCACAAAGTGTATTCTGAGAATGATTTTGTCTAATTTTAATATGAAGATATAACCTTTTCTGCCATTGTCCTCGAAGCGTTTGATATCTGCACTAGCAAATTCCACAGAAAGAGTGTTTCAAATCTGCTCTCTCTAAAGAAAGTTTCAACTCTGTGAGTTGAATGCACACAACACAAAGAAGTTAATGAGAATTCTTCTGTCTAGCGTTATATGAAGAAATCCCGTTTCCAACTGAGTCCTCAAAGAGGTCCAAATATCCACTTGCAGACTTTACAAACAGAGTGTTTCCAAAGTGCTCTATGAAAAGAAAGGTTAAACTCTGTGAGTTGAAGGCACACATCACAAACTAGTTTCTACGAATGACTCTGTAGTTTTAATACGAAGATATTTCCATGTCTAAGATAGGCGTCAAATCTCTTGAAATCTCCACCTGGAAATTCCACAAAAAGAGTGTTTCAAAACTGCTCTGAATAAAGGAAGGTTCAACTCTGTGAGTTGAATTCACACAACACAAAGGATTTACTGAGAATTCTTCTGTCTAGCAGTAAGTGAAAAAATCCCACTTCCAACGAAGTCCTCAAAGGGGTCCAAGTATTCACTTGCAGACTTTACAGACAGAGTCTTTCCAAACTGCTGTTTGAAAAGAAAGGTGAAACTCTGTGAGTTGAACGCACACATAACAAAGCAGTTTCTGTGAATGATTCTGTGTAGTTTTTACACGAAGAGATTTCCATTTCAAAGATTGGCCTCAAATCGCTTGAAATCTCCACTTGCAAATTCCACAGAAAGAGTTTTTCAAAACTGCTCTGTCTAAAGGAAGGTTTAACTCTGTGACTTGAATACACACAACACAAAGAAGTGACTGATAATTCTTCTGCCTAGCATTATATGAAGAAATCACGTTTCCAACGAACGCTTCAAAGAGGTCCAAATATGCACTTGCAGACTTTACAAACAGAGTGTTTCCAAACTGCTCTATGAAAAGAAAGGTTAAACTCCGTGTGTTGAACGCACACATCAGAAAGTAGTTCCTGTGAATGATTCTGTGTAGTTTTTACACGAAGATAATTCCATTTCAAAGATTGGCCTCAAATTGCTTGAAACCTCCAGTTGCAAATTCCAAAGAAAGAGTTTTTCAAAACTACTCGGTCTAAAGGAAGTTTCAACTCTGTGACTTGAATACCACAACACAAAGAAGTGACTGAGAATTCTTCTGTCTAGCATTATATGAAGAAATCCCGTTTCCAACGAAGGCCTCAAAGAAGTACAAATAAGCACCTGCAGACTTTACAAACAGAGTGTTTCCAAACTGCTCTATGAAAAGAAAGGTTAAACTCTGTGAGTTGAACGCACACATCACAAAGTAGTTTTTGAGAATGATTCTGTGTAGTTTTTATACGAAGATATTTCCTTTTCTGCCATAGGCCTAGAAGCGCATGAAATCTGCACTTGCAAATTCCAAAAACAGAGTGTCTCAAATCTGCTCTCTCTAAAGGAAGGTTCAAATCTGTGGGTTGAATACTAACAACACAAAGAAGTTACTGAGAATTCT